>NC_000008.11:45682562-45864252 GCF_000001405.40 Homo sapiens | reverse complement strand
CTTCTGTCTAGATTTTCTTTGAAGACATCCCCGTTTCCAACGAAATCCTCACAGCTATCCAAATATCCTCTTGCAGATTCTACAAAAAGTGTGGTTCAAAACTGCTGTATCACTCCATCCTGGGCGACAGAGCGCAAGCCCATCTTTAAAAAAAAAAAAAAAATCTGTCTAGTTTTTGTCGGAAGATATTTCCTTTTTCAGCATAGGCCCCAAGGAGCTCAAAATGTCCACTGCCAGATAGTACGAGAAGATTGTTTCAAACCTGCTCTGTGAAAGGGAATGTTCAACTCTGTGACTTGAATGTAAACATCCCTAAGATGTTTCTTAGAATGCTTCTGGCTAGATTTGATTTGAAGATATTCCCGTTTCCAACGAAATCCTCAAAGCTTTCCAAATATCCACTTCCAGATTCTATAAAAAGAATGTTTCAGAACAGTTCTGTCAAAAGAAAGGTTCAACTCTGTTAGTGGAGAACACACATCACAATCAAGGTTCTGAGAATGCTTCCGTCTAAATTTTCTATGAAGACATTCCCGTTTCCAACGAAATCCTCACAGCTATCCAAATATCCACTTGCAGATTCTACAAAAAGTGTGGTTCAAAACTGCTGTATCAAAAGAATGGATCAACACTGTTAGTTGAGTACCCACATCACAAACGTGATTCTCAGAATGCTTCTGTCTAGTTTCTATAGGTAGATATTTCCTTTTTCAGCATAGGCCTGAAAGCGCTCCAAATGCCCGCTTCCAGACACTATAAAAAGAGGGTTTCAAACCTACTCTATGAAAGGGAATGTTCAACTCTGAGAGCTGGATGCAAACATCACAAAGAAGTTTCTGAGAATGCTGCTGTCTACTTTTGATATAGAATCCCGTTTCCAAGGAAATCCTCAAATCTATCCAAATATCCACTTGCAGATTCCAAAAGAAGAGTGTCTCAAAACTGCTCTATCAATAGAAATGTTCAGCACAGTTAGTTGAGTAGATACAGCATAAACATGTTTCTGAGATTACTTCTATCTCGCATTCATGGGAAGATATTTCCTTTTTCCAGATAGGCTACAAAGCCCTCCAAATGTCCACTTCCAGATACTACAAATAGAGTGCTGCACAACTGCTCTATGTGAGGGGATGTTCAATTCTGTGACTTGAATGCAGACACCACAAAGAAGTTTCTGAGAATGCTGCTGTCTAATTTTTACATGTAAGCCCGTTTCCAACGAAATCCTCAAAGCTATCCAAATATCCGCATGCAGAATCTTCAAAAAGAGTGTTCCAGAAGTACTGCATGAAACGAAAGGTTCAAGTCCGTTTGTTGAGGACACACATCACAAATAAGTTTCTCAGAATGCTTCTGTCTTGTTTTCATTGGAAGATATTTCCTTTTTCACCATAGTTCAGAAAGCGCTCCAAATGTCCACTTCCAGATACTCCAAAAAGAGTGTTTCCAACCTGCTCTATGAATGGGAATGTTCCACTCTGTGACTTGAATGGAAATATGGCAAAGTATTTTCTGAGTATGCTGCTGTGTACGTTTTATATTGCATCCCGTTTCCAACGAAATCCTCAAAGCGATCCAAATATCCACTTGCAGATTCCAAAAAAAGAGTG
Organism: Homo sapiens; assembly: GCF_000001405.40. Lineage (NCBI taxonomy): Eukaryota > Metazoa > Chordata > Mammalia > Primates > Hominidae > Homo > Homo sapiens. Next base: position 45,862,642 of record NC_000008.11, on the reverse strand, counting down.
TTTCAAACTGCTCTGTCAGTACAAAGGTTCAACACTGTTAGTTGATTAGATGCATCATAAACAAGTTCCTGAGATAGCTTCTATGTCGTTTTTATGGGAAGATATTTCCTTTTTCACCATAGGCCTGAAAGCGCTCCAAATGTCCACTTCCAGATACTACAAAAAGAGTGTTTCCAACCTGCTCTATGAAACGGAAGGTTCAACTCTGTGACTTGATTGCAAACATCACGAAGGTGTTTCTGAGAATGCTTCTGTCTAGATTTTCTTTGAAGACATTACCGTTTCCAACGAAATCCTCAAAGCTAGCCAAATATCCACCTGCAGATTCTACAAAAAGAGTGTTTCAAAAGTGCTCTGTCCAAACCAAGGTTCAATTCTGACAGTTGAGTGCACACATCACAAACGTGATTCTGCGAATGCTTCTGTCTAGTTTTTGTCGGAAGATATTTCCTTTTTCAGCATAGGCCCCAAGGAGCTCAAAATGTCCACTGCCAGATAGTACGAGAAGATTGTTTCAAACCTGCTCTGTGAAAGGGAATGTTCAACTCTGTGACTTGAATGTAAACATCCCTAAGCTGTTTCTTAGAATGCTTCTGGCTAGATTTTATTTGAAGATATTCCCGTTTCCAATGAAATCCTCAAAGCTTTCCAAATATCCACTTCCAGATTCTATAAAAAGAATGTTTCAGAACAGTTCTGTCAAAAGAAAGGTTCAACTCTGTTAGTGGAGAACACACATCACAATCAAGGTTACTGAGAATGCTTCTGTCTAAATTTTCTATGAAGACATTCCCGTTTCCAACGAAATCCCCACAGCTATCCAAATATCCACTTGCAGATTCTACAAAAAGGGTGGTTCAAAACTGCTGTATCAAAAGAATGGATCAACACTGTTAGTTGAGTACCCACATCACAAACGTGATTCTCAGATTGCTTCAGTCTAGTTTCTGTAGGTAGATATTTCCTTTTTCAGCATAGGCCTGAAAGCGCTCCAAATGCCCGCTTCCAGACACTATAAAAAGGGGGTTTCAAACCTACTCTATGAAAGAGAATGTTCAACTCGGAGAGCTGGATGCAAACATCACAAAGAAGTTTCTGAGAATGCTGCTGTCTACTTTTCATATATAATCCCGTTTCCAACGAAATCCTCAAATCTATCCAAATATCCACTTGCAGATTCCAAAAGAAGAGTGTCTCAAAACTGCTCTATCAATAGAAATCTTCAGCACAGTTAGTTGAGTAGATACAGCATAAACATGTTTCTGAGATTACTTCTATCTCGCATTCATGGGAAGATATTTCCTTTTTCCAGATAGGCTACAAAGCCCTCCAAATGTCCACATCGAGATACTACAAATAGAGTGCTGCACAACTGCTCTATGTGAGGGGATGTTCAATTCTGTGACTTGAATGCAGACACCACAAAGAAGTTTCTGAGAATGCTGCTGTCTACTTTTTATGTATAATCCCGTTTCCAAAGAAATCCTCAAATCTATCCAAATATCCACTTGCAGATTCCAAATGAAGAGTGTCTCAAAACTGCTCTATCAATAGAAATGTTCAGCACACTTAGTTGAGTAGATACAGCATAAACATGTTTCTGAGATTACTTCTATCTCGCATTCATGGGAAGATATTTCCTTTTTCCACATAGGCTACAAAGCCCTCCAAATGTCCACTTCCAGATACTACAAATAGAGTGCTGCACAACTGCTCTATGTGAGGGGATGTTCAATTCTGTGACTTGAATGCAGACACCACAAAGAAGTTTCTGAGAATGCTGCTGTCTAATTTTTATATGTAAGCCCGTTTCCAACGAAATCCTCAAAGCTATCCAAATATCCGCATGCAGAATCTTCAAAAAGAGTGTTCCAGAAGTACTGCATGAAACGAAAGGTTCAAGTCCGTTAGTTGAGGACACACATCACAAATAAGTTTCTCAGAATGCTTCTGTCTTGTTTTCATTGGAAGATATTTCCTTTTTCACCATAGTTCAGAAAGCGCTCCAAATGTCCACTTCCAGATACTCCAAAAAGAGTGTTTCCAACCTGCTCTATGAATGGGAATGTTCCACTCTGTGACTTGAATGGAAATATGGCAAAGTATTTTCTGAGTATGCTGCTGTGTACGTTTTATATTGCATCCCGTTTCCAACGAAATCCTCAAAGCGATCCAAATATCCACTTGCAGATTCCAAAAAAAGAGTGTTTCAAACTGCTCTGTCAGTACAAAGGTTCAACACTGTTAGTTGATTAGATGCATCATAAACAAGTTCCTGAGATAGCTTCTATGTCGTTTTTATGGGAAGATATTTCCTTTTTCACCATAGGCCTGAAAGCGCTCCAAATGTCCACTTCCAGATACTACAAAAAGAGTGTTTCCAACCTGCTCTATGAAACGGAAGGTTCAACTCTGTGACTTGATTGCAAACATCACGAAGGTGTTTCTGAGAATGTTTCTGTCTAGATTTTCTTTGAAGACATTACCGTTTCCAACGAAATCCTCAAAGCTAGCCAAATATCCACCTGCAGATTCTACAAAAAGAGTGTTTCAAAAGTGCTCTGTCCAAACCAAGGTTCAATTCTGACAGTTGAGTGCACACATCACAAACGTGATTCTGCGAATGCTTCTGTCTAGTTTTTGTCGGAAGATATTTCCTTTTTCAGCATAGGCCCCAAGGAGCTCAAAATGTCCACTGCCAGATAGTACGAGAAGATTGTTTCAAACCTGCTCTGTGAAAGGGAATGTTCAACTCTGTGACTTGAATGTAAACATCCCTAAGATGTTTCTTAGAATGCTTCTGGCTAGATTTTATTTGAAGATATTCCCGTTTCCAACGAAATCCTCAAAGCTTTCCAAATATCCACTTGCAGATTCTATAAAAAGAATGTTTCAGAACAGTTCTGTCAAAAGAAAGGTTCAACTCTGTTAGTGGAGAACACACATCACAATCAAGGTTCTGAGAATGCTTCTGTCTAAATTTTCTATGAAGACATTCCCGTTTCCAACGAAATCCTCACAGCTATCCAAATATCCACTTGCAGATTCTACAAAAAGTGTGGTTCAAAACTGCTGTATCAAAAGAATGGATCAACACTGTTAGTTGAGTACCCACATCACAAACGTGATTCTCAGAATGCTTCTGTCTAGTTTCTGTAGGTAGATATTTCCTATTTTAAGCATAGGCCTGAAAGCGCTCCAAATGCCCGCTTCCAGACACTATAAAAAGAGGGTTTCAAACCTACTCTATGAAAGGGAATGTTCAACTCTGAGAGCTGGATGCAAACATCACAAAGAAGTTTCTGAGAATGCTGCTGTCTACTTTTTATATATAATCCCGTTTCCAACGAAATCCTCAAATCTATCCAAATATCCACTTGCAGATTCCAAAAGAAGAGTGTCTCAAAACTGCTCTATCAATAGAAATGTTCAGCACAGTTAGTTGAGTAGATACAGCATAAACATGTTTCTGAGATTACTTCTATCTCGCATTCATGGGAAGATATTTCCTTTTTCCAGATAGGCTACAAAGCCCTCCAAATGTCCACTTCCAGATACTACAAATAGAGTGCTGCACAACTGCTCTATGTGAGGGGAAGTTCAATTCTGTGACTTGAATGCAGACACCACAAAGAAGTTTCTGAGAATGCTGCTGTCTAATTTTTACATGTAAGCCCGTTTCCAACGAAATCCTCAAAGCTATCCAAATATCCGCATGCAGAATCTTCAAAAAGAGTGTTCCAGAAGTACTGCATGAAACGAAAGGTTCAAGACCGTTTGTTGAGGACACACATCACAAATAAGTTTCTCAGAATGCTTCTGTCTTGTTTTCATTGGAAGATATTTCCTTTTTCACCATAGTTCAGAAAGCGCTCCAAATGTCCACTTCCAGATACTCCAAAAAGAGTGTTTCCAACCTGCTCTATGAATGGGAATGTTCCACTCTGTGACTTGAATGGAAATATGGCAAAGTATTTTCTGAGTATGCTGCTGTGTACGTTTTATATTGCATCCCGTTTCCAACGAAATCCTCAAAGCGATCCAAATATCCACTTGCAGATTCCAAAAAAAGAGTGTTTCAAAGTGCTCTGTCAGTACAAAGGTTCAACACTGTTAGTTGATTAGATGCATCATAAACAATTTCCTGAGATAGCTTCTATCTCGCATTCATGGGAAGATATTTCCTTTTTCCACATAGGCTACAAAGCCCTCCAAATGTCCACTTCCAGATACTACAAAAAGAGTGTTTCCAACCTGCTCTATGAAACGGAAGGTTCAACTCTGTGACTTGATTGCAAACATCACGAAGGTGTTTCTGAGAATGCTTCTGTCTAGATTTTCTTTGAAGACATTACCGTTTCCAACGAAATCCTCAAAGCTAGCCAAATATCCACCTGCAGATTCTACAAAAAGAGTGTTTCAAAAGTGCTCTGTCCAAACCAAGGTTCAATTCTGACAGTTGAGTGCACACATCACAAACGTGATTCTGCGAATGCTTCTGTCTAGTTTTTGTCGGAAGATATTTCCTTTTTCAGCATAGGCCCCAAGGAGCTCAAAATGTCCACTGCCAGATAGTACGAGAAGATTGTTTCAAACCTGCTCTGTGAAAGGGAATGTTCAACTCTGTGACTTGAATGTAAACATCCCTAAGCTGTTTCTTAGAATGCTTCTGGCTAGATTTTATTTGAAGATATTCCCGTTTCCAACGAAATCCTCAAAGCTTTCCAAATATCCACTTCCAGATTCTATAAAAAGAATGTTTCAGAACAGTTCTGTCAAAAGAAAGGTTCAACTCTGTTAGTGGAGAACACACATCACAATCAAGGTTCTGAGAATGCTTCTGTCTAGATTTTCTTTGAAGACATTCCCGTTTCCAACGAAATCCTCACAGCTATCCAAATATCCTCTTGCAGATTCTACAAAAAGTGTGGTTCAAAACTGCTGTATCAAACGAATGGATCAACACTGTTAGTTGAGTACCCACATCACAAACGAGATTCTCAGAATGCTTCTGTCTAGTTTCTATAGGTAGATATTTCCTTTTTCAGCATAGGCCTGAAAGCGCTCCAAATGCCCGCTTCCAGACACTATAAAAAGAGGGTTTCAAACCTACTCTATGAAAGGGAATGTTCAACTCTGAGAGCTGGATGCAAACATCACAAAGAAGTTTCTGAGAATGCTGCTGTCTACTTTTTATATATAATCCCGTTTCCAACGAAATCCTCAAATCTATCCAAATATCCACTTGCAGATTCCAAAAGAAGAGGGTCTCAAAACTGCTCTATCAATAGAAATGTTCAGCACAGTTAGTTGAGTAGATACAGCATAAACATGTTTCTGAGATTACTTCTATCTCGCATTCATGGGAAGATATTTCCTTTTTCCAGGATAGGCTACAAAGCCCTCCAAATGTCCACTTCGAGATACTACAAATAGAGTGCTGCACAACTGCTCTATGTGAGGGGAAGTTCAATTCTGTGACTTGAATGCAGACACCACAAAGAAGTTTCTGAGAATGCTGCTGTCTAATTTTTACATGTAAGCCCGTTTCCAACGAAATCCTCAAAGCTATCCAAATATCCGCATGCAGAATCTTCAAAAAGAGTGTTCCAGAAGTACTGCATGAAACGAAAGGTTCAAGTCCGTTTGTTGAGGACACACATCACAAATAAGTTTCTCAGAATGCTTCTGTCTTGTTTTCATTGGAAGATATTTCCTTTTTCACCATAGTTCAGAAAGCGCTCCAAATGTCCACTTCCAGATACTCCAAAAAGAGTGTTTCAAACCTGCTCTATGAATGGGAATGTTCCACTCTGTGACTTGAATGGAAATATGGCAAAGTATTTTCTGAGTATGCTGCTGTGTACGTTTTATATTGCATCCCGTTTCCAACGAAATCCTCAAAGCGATCCAAATATCCACTTGCAGATTCCAAAAAAAGAGTGTTTCAAACTGCTCTGTCAGTACAAAGGTTCAACACTGTTAGTTGATTAGATGCATCATAAACAAGTTCCTGAGATAGCTTCTATGTCGTTTTTATGGGAAGATATTTCCTTTTTCACCATAGGCCTGAAAGCGCTCCAAATGTCCACTTCCAGATACTACAAAAAGAGTGTTTCCAACCTGCTCTATGAAACGGAAGGTTCAACTCTGTGACTTGATTGCAAACATCACGAAGGTGTTTCTGAGAATGTTTCTGTCTAGATTTTCTTTGAAGACATTCCCGTTTCCAACGAAATCCTCACAGCTATCCAAATATCCTCTTGCAGATTCTACAAAAAGTGTGGTTCAAAACTGCTGTATCAAAAGAATGGATCAACACTGTTAGTTGAGTACCCACATCACAAACGAGATTCTCAGAATGCTTCTGTCTAGTTTCTATAGGTAGATATTTCCTTTTTCAGCATAGGCCTGAAAGCGCTCCAAATGCCCGCTTCCAGACACTATAAAAAGAGGGTTTCAAACCTACTCTATGAAAGGGAATGTTCAACTCTGAGAGCTGGATGCAAACATCACAAAGAAGTTTCTGAGAATGCTGCTGTCTACTTTTTATATATAATCCCGTTTCCAACGAAATCCTCAAATCTCTCCAAATATCCACTTGCAGATTCCAAAAGAAGAGTGTCTCAAAACTGCTCTATCAATAGAAATGTTCAGCACAGTTAGTTGAGTAGATACAGCATAAACATGTTTCTGAGATTACTTCTATCTCGCATTCATGGGAAGATATTTCCTTTTTCCAGATAGGCTACAAAGCCCTCCAAATGTCCACTTCCAGATACTACAAATAGAGTGCTGCACAACTGCTCTATGTGAGGGGAAGTTCAATTCTGTGACTTGAATGCAGACACCACAAAGAAGTTTCTGAGAATGCTGCTGTCTAATTTTTACATGTAAGCCCGTTTCCAACGAAATCCTCAAAGCTATCCAAATATCCGCATGCAGAATCTTCAAAAAGAGTGTTCCAGAAGTACTGCATGAAACGAAAGGTTCAAGTCCGTTTGTTGAGGACACACATCACAAATAAGTTTCTCAGAATGCTTCTGTCTTGTTTTCATTGGAAGATATTTCCTTTTTCACCATAGTTCAGAAAGCGCTCCAAATGTCCACTTCCAGATACTACAAAAAGAGTGTGTCAAACCTGCTCTATGAATGGGAATGTTCCACTCTGTGACTTGAATGGAAATATGGCAAAGTATTTTCTGAGTATGCTGCTGTGTACGTTTTATATTGCATCCCGTTTCCAACGAAATCCTCAAAGCGATCCAAATATCCACTTGCAGATTCCAAAAAAAAGAGTGTTTCACACTGCTCTGTCAGTACAAAGTTTCAACACTGTTAGTTGATTGGATGCATCATAAACAAGTTCCTGAGATAGCTTCTATGTCGTTTTTATGGGAAGATATTTCCTTTTTCACCATAGGCCTGAAAGCGCTCCAAATGTCCACTTCCAGATACTACAATAAGAGTGTTTCCAACCTGCTCTATGAAACGGAAGGTTCAACTCTGTGACTTGATTGCAAACATCACGAAGGTGTTTCTGAGAATGCTTCTGTCTAGATTTTCTTTGAAGACATTACCGTTTCCAACGAAATCCTCAAAGCTAGCCAAATATCCACCTGCAGATTCTACAAAAAGAGTGTTTCAAAAGTGCTCTGTCCAAACCAAGGTTCAATTCTGACAGTTGAGTGCACACATCACAAACGTGATTCTGCGAATGCTTCTGTCTAGTTTTTGTCGGAAGATATTTCCTTTTTCAACATAGGCCCCAAGGAGCTCAAAATGTCCACTGCCAGATAGTACGAGAAGATTGTTTCAAACCTGCTCTGTGAAAGGGAATGTTCAACTCTGTGACTTGAATGTAAACATCCCTAAGATGTTTCTTAGAATGCTTCTGGCTAGATTTTATTTGAAGATATTCCCGTTTCCAACGAAATCCTCAAAGCTTTCCAAATATCCACTTCCAGATTCTATAAAAAGAATGTTTCAAAACAGTTCTGTCAAAAGAAAGGTTCAACCCTGTTAGTGGAGAACACACATCACAATCAAGGTTCTGAGAATGCTTCTGTCTAAATTTTCTATGAAGACATTCCCGTTTCCAAGGAAATCCTCACAGCTATCCAAATATCCACTTGCAGATTCTACAAAAAGTGTGGTTGAAAACTGCTGTATCAAAAGAATGGATCAACACTGTTAGTTGAGTACCCACATCACAAACGTGATTCTCAGAATGCTTCTGTCTAGTTTCTATAGGTAGATATTTCCTTTTTCAGCATAGGCCTGAAAGCGCTCCAAATGCCCGCTTCCAGACACTATAAAAAGAGGGTTTCAAACCTACTCTATGAAAGGGAATGTTCAACTCTGAGAGCTGGATGCAAACATCACAAAGAAGTTTCTGAGAATGCTGCTGTCTACTTTTTATATATAATCCCGTTTCCAACGAAATCCTCAAATCTATCCAAATATCCACTTGCAGATTCCAAAAGAAGAGTGTCTCAAAACTGCTCTATCAATAGAAATGTTCAGCACAGTTAGTTGAGTAGATACAGCATAAACATGTTTCTGAGATTACTTCTATCTCGCATTCATGGGAAGATATTTCCTTTTTCCACATAGGCTACAAAGCCCTCCAAATGTCCACTTCCAGATACTACAAATAGAGTGCTGCACAACTGCTCTATGTGAGGGGATGTTCAATTCTGTGACTTGAATGCAGACACCACAAAGAAGTTTCTGAGAATGCTGCTGTCTAATTTTTATATGTAAGCCCGTTTCCAACGAAATCCTCAAAGCTATCCAAATATCTGCATGCAGAATCTTTAAAAAGAGAGTTCCAGAAGTACTGCATGAAACGAAAGGTTCAAGTCCGTTAGTTGAGGACACACATCACAAATAAGTTTCTCAGAATGTTTCTGTCTTGTTTTCATTGGAAGATATTTCCTTTTTCACCATAGTTCAGAAAGCGCTCCAAATGTCCACTTCCAGATACTCCAAAAAGAGTGTTTCCAACCTGCTCTATGAATGGGAATGTTCCACTCTGTGACTTGAATGGAAATATGGCAAAGTATTTTCTGAGTAAGCTGCTGTGTACGTTTTATATTGCATCCCGTTTCCAACGAAATCCTCAAAGCGATCCAAATATCCACTTGCAGATTCCAAAAAAAGAGTGTTTCAAACTGCTCTGTCAGTACAAAGGTTCAACACTGTTAGTTGATTAGATGCCTCATAAACAAGTTCCTGAGATAGCTTCTATGTCGTTTTTATGGGAAGATATTTCCTTTTTCACCATAGGCCTGAAAGCGCTCCAAATGTCCACTTCCAGATACTACAATAAGAGTGTTTCCAACCTGCTCTATGAAACGGAAGGTTCAACTCTGTGACTTGATTGCAAACATCACGAAGGTGTTTCTGAGAATGCTTCTGTCTAGATTTTCTTTGAAGACATTACCGTTTCCAACGAAATCCTCAAAGCTAGCCAAATATCCACCTGCAGATTCTACAAAAAGAGTGTTTCAAAAGTGCTCTGTCCAAACCAAGGTTCAATTCTGACAGTTGAGTGCACACATCACAAACGTGATTCTGCGAATGCTTCTGTCTAGTTTTTGTCGGAAGATATTTCCTTTTTCAGCATAGGCCCCAAGGAGCTCAAAATGTCCACTGCCAGATAGTACGAGAAGATTGTTTCAAACCTGCTCTGTGAAAGGGAATGTTCAACTCTGTGACTTGAATGTAAACATCCCTAAGATGTTTCTTAGAATGCTTCTGGCTAGATTTTATTTGAAGATATTCCCGTTTCCAACGAAATCCTCAAAGCTTTCCAAATATCCACTTCCAGATTCTATAAAAAGAATGTTTCAGAACAGTTCTGTCAAAAGAAAGGTTCAACTCTGTTAGTGGAGAACACACATCACAATCAAGGTTCTGAGAATGCTTCTGGCTAGATTTGATTTGAAGATATTCCCGTTTCCAACGAAATCCTCAAAGCTTTCCAAATATCCACTTCCAGATTCTACAAAAAGTGTGGTTCAAAACTGCTGTATCAAAAGAATGGATCAACACTGTTAGTTGAGTACCCACATCACAAACGTGATTCTCAGAATGCTTCTGTCTAGTTTCTATAGGTAGATATTTCCTTTTTCAGCATAGGCCTGAAAGCGCTCCAAATGCCCGCTTCCAGACACTATAAAAAGAGGGTTTCAAACCTACTCTATGAAAGGGAATGTTCAACTCTGAGAGCTGGATGCAAACATCACAAAGAAGTTTCTGAGAATGCTGCTGTCTACTTTTTATATATAATCCCGTTTCCAACGAAATCCTCAAATCTATCCAAATATCCACTTGCAGATTCCAAAAGAAGAGTGTCTCAAAACTGCTCTATCAATAGAAATGTTCAGCACAGTTAGTTGAGTAGATACAGCATAAACCTGTTTCTGAGATTACTTCTATCTCGCATTCATGGGAAGATATTTCCTTTTTCCACATAGGCTACAAAGCCCTCCAAATGTCCACTTCCAGATACTACAAATAGAGTGCTGCACAACTGCTCTATGTGAGGGGATGTTCAATTCTGTGACTTGAATGCAGACACCACAAAGAAGTTTCTGAGAATGCTGCTGTCTAATTTTTATATGTAAGCCCGTTTCCAACGAAATCCTCAAAGCTATCCAAATATCCGCATGCAGAATCTTCAAAAAGAGTGTTCCAGAAGTACTGCATGAAACGAAAGGTTCAAGTCCGTTAGTTGAGGACACACATCACAAATAAGTTTCTCAGAATGCTTCTGTCTTGTTTTCATTGGAAGATATTTCCTTTTTCACCATAGTTCAGAAAGCGCTCCAAATGTCCACTTCCAGATACTCCAAAAAGAGTGTTTCCAACCTGCTCTATGAATGGGAATGTTCCACTCTGTGACTTGAATGGAAATATGGCAAAGAATTTTCTGAGTATGCTGCTGTGTACGTTTTATATTGCATCCCGTTTCCAACGAAATCCTCAAAGCGATCCAAATATCCACTTGCAGATTCCAAAAAAAGAGTGTTTCAAACTGCTCTGTCAGTACAAAGGTTCAACACTGTTAGTTGATTAGATGCATCATAAACAAGTTCCTGAGATAGCTTCTATCTCGCATTCATGGGAAGATATTTCCTTTTTCCAGATAGGCTACAAAGCCCTCCAAATGTCCACTTCCAGATACTACAAAAAGAGTGTTTCCAACCTGCTCTATGAAACGGAAGGTTCAACTCTGTGACTTGATTGCAAACATCACGAAGGTGTTTCTGAGAATGCTTCTGTCTAGATTTTCTTTGAAGACATTACCGTTTCCAACGAAATCCTCAAAGCTAGCCAAATATCCACCTGCAGATTCTACAAAAAGAGTGTTTCAAAAGTGCTCTGTCCAAACCAAGGTTCAATTCTGACAGTTGAGTGCACACATCACAAACGTGATTCTGCGAATGCTTCTGTCTAGTTTTTGTCGGAAGATATTTCCTTTTTCAGCATAGGCCCCAAGGAGCTCAAAATGTCCACTGCCAGATAGTACGAGAAGATTGTTTCAAACCTGCTCTGTGAAAGGGAATGTTCAACTCTGTGACTTGAATGTAAACATCCCTAAGATGTTTCTTAGAATGCTTCTGGCTAGATTTTATTTGAAGATATTCCCGTTTCCAACGAAATCCTCAAAGCTTTCCAAATATCCACTTCCAGATTCTATAAAAAGAATGTTTCAGAACAGTTCTGTCAAAAGAAAGGTTCAACTCTGTTAGTGGAGAACACACATCACAATCAAGGTTCTGAGAATGCTTCTGTCTAAATTTTCTATGAAGACATTCCCGTTTCCAACGAAATCCTCACAGCTATCCAAATATCCACTTGCAGATTCTACAAAAAGTGTGGTTCAAAACTGCTGTATCAAAAGAATGGATCAACACTGTTAGTTGAGTACCCACATCACAAACGTGATTCTCAGAATGCTTCTGTCTAGTTTCTATAGGTAGATATTTCCTTTTTCAGCATAGGCCTGAAAGCGCTCCAAATGCCCGCTTCCAGACACTATAAAAAGAGGGTTTCAAACCTACTCTATGAAAGGGAATGTTCAACTCTGAGAGCTGGATGCAAACATCACAAAGAAGTTTCTGAGAATGCTGCTGTCTACTTTTGATATATAATCCCGTTTCCAACGAAATCCTCAAATCTATCCAAATATCCACTTGCAGATTCCAAAAGAAGAGTGTCTCAAAACTGCTCTATCAATAGAAATGTTCAGCACAGTTAGTTGAGAAGATACAGCATAAACATGTTTCTGAGATTACTTCTATCTCGCATTCATGGGAAGATATTTCCTTTTTCCTGATAGGCTACAAAGCCCTCCAAATGTCCACTTCGAGATACTACAAATAGAGTGCTGCACAACTGCTCTATGTGAGGGGAAGTTCAATTCTGTGACTTGAATGCAGACACCACAAAGAAGTTTCTGAGAATGCTGCTGTCTAATTTTTATATGTAAGCCCGTTTCCAAAGAAATCCTCAAAGCTATCCAAAGATCCGCATGCAGAATCTTCAAAAAGAGTGTTCCAGAAGTACTGCATGAAACGAAAGGTTCAAGTCCGTTAGTTGAGGACACACATCACAAATAAGTTTCTCAGAATGCTTCTGTCTTGTTTTCATTGGAAGATATTTCCTTTTTCACCATAGTTCAGAAAGCGCTCCAAATGTCCACTTCCAGATACTCCAAAAAGAGTGTTTCCAACCTGCTCTATGAATGGGAATGTTCCACTCTGTGACTTGAATGGAAATATGGCAAAGTATTTTCTGAGTATGCTGCTGTGTACGTTTTATATTGCATCCCGTTTCCAACGAAATCCTCAAAGCGATCCAAATATCCACTTGCAGATTCCAAAAAAAGAGTGTTTCAAACTGCTCTGTCAGTACAAAGGTTCAACACTGTTAGTTGATTAGATGCCTCATAAACAAGTTCCTGAGATAGCTTCTATGTCGTTTTTATGGGAAGATATTTCCTTTTTCACCATAGGCCTGAAAGCGCTCCAAATGTCCACTTCCAGATACTACAATAAGAGTGTTTCCAACCTGCTCTATGAAACGGAAGGTTCAACTCTGTGACTTGATTGCAAACATCACGAAGGTGTTTCTGAGAATGCTTCTGTCTAGATTTTCTTTGAAGACATTACCGTTTCCAACGAAATCCTCAAAGCTAGCCAAATATCCACCTGCAGATTCTACAAAAAGAGTGTTTCAAAAGTGCTCTGTCCAAACCAAGGTTCAATTCTGACAGTTGAGTGCACACATCACAAACGTGATTCTGCGAATGCTTCTGTCTAGTTTTTGTCGGAAGATATTTCCTTTTTCAGCATAGGCCCCAAGGAGCTCAAAATGTCCACTGCCAGATAGTACGAGAAGATTGTTTCAAACCTGCTCTGTGAAAGGGAATGTTCAACTCTGTGACTTGAATGTAAACATCCCTAAGATGTTTCTTAGAATGCTTCTGGCTAGATTTGATTTGAAGATATTCCCGTTTCCAACGAAATCCTCAAAGCTTTCCAAATATCCACTTCCAGATTCTATAAAAAGAATGTTTCAGAACAGTTCTGTCAAAAGAAAGGTTCAACTCTGTTAGTGGAGAACACACATCACAATCAAGGTTCTGAGAATGCTCCTGTCTAAATTTTCTATGAAGACATTCCCGTTTCCAACGAAATCCTCACAGCTATCCAAATATCCACTTGCACATTCTACAAAAAGTGTGGTTAAAAACTGCTGTATGAAAAGAATGGATCAACACTGTTAGTTGAGTACCCACATCACAAACGTGATTCTCAGAATGCTTCTGTCTAGTTTCTATAGGTAGATATTTCCTTTTTCAGCATAGGCCTGAAAGCGCTCCAAATGCCCGCTTCCAGACACTATAAAAAGAGGGTTTCAAACCTACTCTATGAAAGGGAATGTTCAACTCTGAGAGCTGGATGCAAACATCACAAAGAAGTTTCTGAGAATGCTGCTGTCTACTTTTTATATATAATCCCGTTTCCAACGAAATCCTCAAATCTATCCAAATATCCACTTGCAGATTCCAAAAGAAGAGTGTCTCAAAACTGCTCTATCAATAGAAATGTTCAGCACAGTTAGTTGATTAGATACAGCATAAACATGTTTCTGAGATTACTTCTATCTCGCATTCATGGGAAGATATTTCCTTTTTCCAGATAGGCTACAAAGCCCTCCAAATGTCCACTTCCAGATACTACAAATAGAGTGCTGCACAACTGCTCTATGTGAGGGGAAGTTCAATTCTGTGACTTGAATGCAGACACCACAAAGAAGTTTCTGAGAATGCTGCTGTCTAATTTTTACATGTAAGCCCGTTTCCAACGAAATCCTCAAAGCTATCCAAATATCCGCATGCAGAATCTTCAAAAAGAGTGTTCCAGAAGTACTGCATGAAACGAAAGGTTCAAGTCCGTTTGTTGAGGACACACATCACAAATAAGTTTCTCAGAATGCTTCTGTCTTGTTTTCATTGGAAGATATTTCCTTTTTCACCATAGTTCAGAAAGCGCTCCAAATGTCCACTTCCAGATACTCCAAAAAGAGTGTTTCAAACCTGCTCTATGAATGGGAATGTTCCACTCTGTGACTTGAATGGAAATATGGCAAAGTATTTTCTGAGTATGCTGCTGTGTACGTTTTATATTGCATCCCGTTTCCAACGAAATCCTCAAAGCGATCCAAATATCCACTTGCAGATTCCAAAAAAAGAGTGTTTCAAACTGCTCTGTCAGTACAAAGGTTCAACACTGTTAGTTGATTAGATGCCTCATAAACAAGTTCCTGAGATAGCTTCTATCTCGCATTCATGGGAAGATATTTCCTTTTTCCAGATAGGCTACAAAGCCCTCCAAATGTCCACTTCCAGATACTACAAAAAGAGTGTTTCCAACCTGCTCTATGAAACGGAAGGTTCAACTCTGTGACTTGATTGCAAACATCACGAAGGTGTTTCTGAGAATGCTTCTGTCTAGATTTTCTTTGAAGACATTACCGTTTCCAACGAAATCCTCAAAGCTAGCCAAATATCCACCTGCAGATTCTACAAAAAGAGTGTTTCAAAAGTGCTCTGTCCAAACCAAGGTTCAGTTCTGACAGTTGAGTGCACACATCACAAACGTGATTCTGCGAATGCTTCTGTCTAGTTTTTGTCGGAAGATATTTCCTTTTTCAGCATAGGCCCCAAGGAGCTCAAAATGTCCACTTCCAGATACTACGAGAAGATTGTTTCAAACCTGCTCTGTGAAAGGGAATGTTCAACTCTGTGACTTGAATGTAAACATCCCTAAGATGTTTCTTAGAATGCTTCTGGCTAGATTTTATTTGAAGATATTCCCGTTTCCAACGAAATCCTCAAAGCTTTCCAAATATCCACTTCCAGATTCTATACAAAGAATGTTTCAGAACAGTTCTGTCAAAAGAAAGGTTCAACCCTGTTAGTGGAGAACACACATCACAATCAAGGTTCTGAGAATGCTTCTGTCTAAATTTTCTATGAAGACATTCCCGTTTCCAAGGAAATCCTCACAGCTATCCAAATATCCAATTGCAGATTCTACAAAAAGTGTGGTGCAAAACTGCTGTATCAAAAGAATGGATCAACACTGTTAGTTGAGTACCCACATCACAAACGTGATTCTCAGAATGCTTCTGTCTAGTTTCTATAGGTAGATATTTCCTTTTTCAGCATTGGCCTGAAAGCGCTCCAAATGCCCGATTCCAGACACTATAAAAAGAGGGTTTCAAACCTACTCTACGAAAGGGAATGTTCAACTCTGAGAGCTGGATGCAAACATCACAAAGAAGTTTCTGAGAATGCGGCTGTCTACTTTTGATATATAATCCCGTTTCCAACGAAATCCTCAAATCTATCCAAATATCCACTTGCAGATTCCAAAAGAAGAGTGTCTCAAAACTGCTCTATCAATAGAAATGTTCAGCACAGTTAGTTGAGTAGATACAGCATAAACATGTTTCTGAGATTACTTCTATCTCGCATTCATGGGAAGATATTTCCTTTTTCCAGATAGGCTACAAAGCCCTCCAAATGTCCACTTCCAGATACTACAAATAGAGTGCTGCACAACTGCTCTATGTGAGGGGAAGTTCAATTCTGTGACTTGAATGCAGACACCACAAAGAAGTTTCTGAGAATGCTGCTGTCTAATTTTTACATGTAAGCCCGTTTCCAACGAAATCCTCAAAGCTATCCAAATATCCGCATGCAGAATCTTCAAAAAGAGTGTTCCAGAAGTACTGCATGAAACGAAAGGTTCAAGTCCGTTTGTTGAGGACACACATCACAAATAAGTTTCTCAGAATGCTTCTGTCTTGTTTTCATTGGAAGATATTTCCTTTTTCACCATAGTTCAGAAAGCGCTCCAAATGTCCACTTCCAGATACTCCAAAAAGAGTGTTTCCAACCTGCTCTATGAATGGGAATGTTCCACTCTGTGACTTGAATGGAAATATGGCAAAGTATTTTCTGAGTATGCTGCTGTGTACGTTTTATATTGCATCCCGTTTCCAACGAAATCCTCAAAGCGATCCAAATATCCACTTGCAGATTCCAAAAAAAGAGTGTTTCAAACTGCTCTGTCAGTACAAAGGTTCAACACTGTTAGTTGATTAGATGCATCATAAACAAGTTCCTGAGATAGCTTCTATGTCGTTTTTATGGGAAGATATTTCCTTTTTCACCATAGGCCTGAAAGCACTCCAAATGTCCACTTCCAGATACTACAAAAAGAGTGTTTCCAACCTGCTCTATGAAACGGAAGGTTCAACTCTGTGACTTGATTGCAAACATCACGAAGGTGTTTCTGAGAATGCTTCTGTCTAGATTTTCTTTGAAGACATTACCGTTTCCAACGAAATCCTCAAAGCTAGCCAAATATCCACCTGCAGATTCTACAAAAAGAGTGTTTCAAAAGTGCTCTGTCCAAACCAAGGTTCAATTCTGACAGTTGAGTGCACACATCACAAACGTGATTCTGCGAATGCTTCTGTCTAGTTTTTGTCGGAAGATATTTCCTTTTTCAGCATAGGCCCCAAGGAGCTCAAAATGTCCACTGCCAGATAGTACGAGAAGATTGTTTCAAACCTGCTCTGTGAAAGGGAATGTTCAACTCTGTGACTTGAATGTAAACATCCCTAAGATGTTTCTTAGAATGCTTCTGGCTAGATTTTATTTGAAGATATTCCCGTTTCCAATGAAATCCTCAAAGCTTTCCAAATATACACTTCCAGATTCTATAAAAAGAATGTTTCAGAACAGTTCTGTCAAAAGAAAGGTTCAACTCTGTTAGTGGAGAACACACACCACAATCAAGGTTCTGAGAATGCTTCTGTCTAAATTTTCTATGAAGACATTCCCGTTTCCAACGAAATCCTCACAGCTATCCAAATATCCACTTGCAGATTCTACAAAAAGTGTGGTTCAAAACTGCTGTATCAAAAGAATGGATCAACACTGTTAGTTGAGTACCCACATCACAAACGTGATTCTCAGAATGCTTCTGTCTAGTTTCTATAGGTAGATATTTCCTTTTTCAGCATAGGCCTGAAAGCGCTCCAAATGCCCGCTTCCAGACACTATAAAAAGAGGGTTTCAAACCTACTCTATGAAAGGGAATGTTCAACTCTGAGAGCTGGATGCAAACATCACAAAGAAGTTTCTGAGAATGCTGCTGTCTACTTTTGATATATAATCCCGTTTCCAACGAAATCCTCAAATCTATCCAAATATCCACTTGCAGATTCCAAAAGAAGAGTGTCTCAAAACTGCTCTATCAATAGAAATGTTCAGCACAGTTAGTTGAGTAGATACAGCATAAACATGTTTCTGAGATACTTCTATCTCGCATTCATGGGAAGATATTTCCTTTTTCCAGATAGGCTACAAAGCCCTCCAAATGTCCACTTCCAGATACTACAAATAGAGTGCTGCACAACTGCTCTATGTGAGGGGAAGTTCAATTCTGTGACTTGAATGCAGACACCACAAAGAAGTTTCTGAGAATGCTGCTGTCTAATTTTTACATGTAAGCCCGTTTCCAACGAAATCCTCAAAGCTATCCAAATATCCGCATGCAGAATCTTCAAAAAGAGTGTTCCAGAAGTACTGCATGAAACGAAAGGTTCAAGTCCGTTTGTTGAGGACACACATCACAAATAAGTTTCTCAGAATGCTTCTGTCTTGTTTTCATTGGAAGATATTTCCTTTTTCACCATAGTTCAGAAAGCGCTCCAAATGTCCACTTCCAGATACTCCAAAAAGAGTGTTTCCAACCTGCTCTATGAATGGGAATGTTCCACTCTGTGACTTGAATGGAAATATGGCAAAGTATTTTCTGAGTATGCTGCTGTGTACGTTTTATATTGCATCCCGTTTCCAACGAAATCCTCAAAGCGATCCAAATATCCACTTGCAGATTCCAAAAAAAGAGTGTTTCAAACTGCTCTGTCAGTACAAAGGTTCAACACTGTTAGTTGATTAGATGCATCATAAACAAGTTCCTGAGATAGCTTCTATGTCGTTTTTATGGGAAGATATTTCCTTTTTCACCATAGGCCTGAAAGCGCTCCAAATGTCCACTTCCAGATACTACAATAAGAGTGTTTCCAACCTGCTCTATGAAACGGAAGGTTCAACTCTGTGACTTGATTGCAAACATCACGAAGGTGTTTCTGAGAATGCTTCTGTCTAGATTTTCTTTGAAGACATTACCGTTTCCAACGAAATCCTCAAAGCTAGCCAAATATCCACCTGCAGATTCTACAAAAAGAGTGTTTCAAAAGTGCTCTGTCCAAACCAAGGTTCAATTCTGACAGTTGAGTGCACACATCACAAACGTGATTCTGCGAATGCTTCTGTCTGGTTCTTGTCGGAAGATATTTCCTTTTTCAGCATAAGCCCCAAGGAGCTCAAAATGTCCACTTCCAGATAGTACGAGAAGATTGTTTCAAACCTGCTCTGTGAAAGGGAATGTTCAACTCTGTGACTTGAATGTAAACATCCCTAAGATGTTTCTTAGAATGCTTCTGGCTAGATTTTATTTGAAGATATTCCCGTTTCCAACGAAATCCTCAAAGCTTTCCAAATATCCACTTCCAGATTCTATAAAAAGAATGTTTCAGAACAGTTCTGTCAAAAGAAAGGTTCAACTCTGTTAGTGGAGAACACACATCACAATCAAGGTTCTGAGAATGCTTCTGTCTAAATTTTCTATGAAGACATTCCCGTTTCCAACGAAATCCTCACAGCTATCCAAATATCCACTTGCAGATTCTACAAAAAGTGTGGTTCAAAACTGCTGTATCAAAAGAATGGATCAACACTGTTAGTTGAGTACCCACATCACAAACGTGATTCTCAGAATGCTTCTGTCTAGTTTCTGTAGGTAGATATTTCCTATTTTAAGCATAGGCCTGAAAGCGCTCCAAATGCCCGCTTCCAGACACTATAAAAAGAGGGTTTCAAACCTACTCTATGAAAGGGAATGTTCAACTCTGAGAGCTGGATGCAAACATCACAAAGAAGTTTCTGAGAATGCTGCTGTCTACTTTTGATATATAATCCCGTTTCCAACGAAATCCTCAAATCTATCCAAATATCCACTTGCAGATTCCAAAAGAAGAGTGTCTCAAAACTGCTCTATCAATAGAAATGTTCAGCACAGTTAGTTGAGTAGATACAGCATAAACATGTTTCTGAGATTACTTCTATCTCGCATTCATGGGAAGATATTTCCTTTTTCCAGATAGGCTACAAAGCCCTCCAAATGTCCACTTCGAGATACTACAAATAGAGTGCTGCACAACTGCTCTATGTGAGGGGAAGTTCAATTCTGTGACTTGAATGCAGACACCACAAAGAAGTTTCTGAGAATGCTGCTGTCTAATTTTTACATGTAAGCCCGTTTCCAACGAAATCCTCAAAGCTATCCAAATATCCGCATGCAGAATCTTCAAAAAGAGTGTTCCAGAAGTACTGCATGAAACGAAAGGTTCAAGTCCGTTTGTTGAGGACACACATCACAAATAAGTTTCTCAGAATGCTTCTGTCTTGTTTTCATTGGAAGATATTTCCTTTTTCACCATAGTTCAGAAAGCGCTCCAAATGTCCACTTCCAGATACTACAAAAAGAGTGTGTCAAACCTGCTCTATGAATGGGAATGTTCCACTCTGTGACTTGAATGGAAATATGGCAAAGTATTTTCTGAGTATGCTGCTGTGTACGTTTTATATTGCATCCCGTTTCCAACGAAATCCTCAAAGCGATCCAAATATCCACTTGCAGATTCCAAAAAAAGAGTGTTTCAAACTGCTCTGTCAGTACAAAGGTTCAACACTGTTAGTTGATTAGATGCATCATAAACAAGTTCCTGAGATAGCTTCTATCTCGCATTCATGGGAAGATATTTCCTTTTTCCAGATAGGCTACAAAGCCCTCCAAATGTCCACTTCCAGATACTACAAAAAGAGTGTTTCCAACCTGCTCTATGAAACGGAAGGTTCAACTCTGTGACTTGATTGCAAACATCACGAAGGTGTTTCTGAGAATGCTTCTGTCTAGATTTTCTTTGAAGACATTACCGTTTCCAACGAAATCCTCAAAGCTAGCCAAATATCCACCTGCAGATTCTACAAAAAGAGTGTTTCAAAAGTGCTCTGTCCAAACCAAGGTTCAATTCTGACAGTTGAGTGCACACATCACAAACGTGATTCTGCGAATGCTTCTGTCTAGTTTTTGTCGGAAGATATTTCCTTTTTCAGCATAGGCCCCAAGGAGCTCAAAATGTCCACTGCCAGATAGTACGAGAAGATTGTTTCAAACCTGCTCTGAGAAAGGGGAATGTTCAACTCTGTGACTTGAATGTAAACATCCCTAAGATGTTTCTTAGAATGCTTCTGGCTAGATTTTATTTGAAGATATTCCCATTTCCAACGAAATCCTCAAAACTTTCCAAATATCCACTTCCAGATTCTCTAAAAAGAATGTTTCAAATCAGTTCTGTCCAAAGAAAGGTTCAACTCTGTTAGTGGAGAACTCACATCACAATCCAGGTTCTGAGAATGCTTCTGTCTAGATTTTCTTTGAAGACATTCCCGTTTCCAACGAAATCCTCACAGCTATCCAAATATCCTCTTGCAGATTCTACAAAAAGTGTGGTTCAAAACTGCTGTATCAAAAGAATGGATCAACACTGTTAGTTGAGTACCCACATCACAAACGTGATTCTCAGAATGCTTCTGTCTAGTTTCTGTAGGTAGATATTTCCTATTTTAAGCATAGGCCTGAAAGCGCTCCAAATGCCCGCTTCCAGACACTATAAAAAGAGGGTTTCAAACCTACTCTATGAAAGGGAATGTTCAACTCTGAGAGCTGGATGCAAACATCACAAAGAAGTTTCTGAGAATGCTGCTGTCTACTTTTTATATATAATCCCGTTTCCAACGAAATCCTCAAATCTATCCAAATATCCACTTGCAGATTCCAAAAGAAGAGTGTCTGAAAACTGCTCTATCAATAGAAATGTTCAGCACAGTTAGTTGAGTAGATACAGCATAAACATGTTTCTGAGATTACTTCTATCTCGCATTCATGGGAAGATATTTCCTTTTTCCAGATAGGCTACAAAGCCCTCCAAATGTCCACTTCCAGATACTACAAATAGAGTGCTGCACAACTGCTCTATGTGAGGGGATGTTCAATTCTGTGACTTGAATGCAGACACCACAAAGAAGTTTCTGAGAATGCTGCTGTCTAATTTTTACATGTAAGCCCGTTTCCAACGAAATCCTCAAAGCTATCCAAATATCCGCATGCAGAATCTTCAAAAAGAGTGTTCCAGAAGTACTGCATGAAACGAAAGGTTCAAGTCCGTTTGTTGAGGACACACATCACAAATAAGTTTCTCAGAATGCTTCTGTCTTGTTTTCATTGGAAGATATTTCCTTTTTCACCATAGTTCAGAAAGCGCTCCAAATGTCCACTTCCAGATACTCCAAAAAGACTGTTTCAAACCTGCTCTATGAATGGGAATGTTCCACTCTGTGACTTGAATGGAAATATGGCAAAGTATTTTCTGAGTATGCTGCTGTGTACGTTTTATATTGCATCCCGTTTCCAACGAAATCCTCAAAGCGATCCAAATATCCACTTGCAGATTCCAAAAAAAAGAGTGTTTCACACTGCTCTGTCAGTACAAAGGTTCAACACTGTTAGTTGATTGGATGCATCATAAACAAGTTCCTGAGATAGCTTCTATGTCGTTTTTATGGTAAGATATTTCCTTCTTCACCATAGGCCTGAAAGCGCTCCAAATGTCCACTTCCAGATACTACAAAAAGAGTGTTTCCAACCTGCTCTACGAAACGGAAGGTTCAACTCTTTGACTTGATTGCAAACATCACGAAGGTGTTTCTGAGAATGTTTCTGTCTAGATTTTCTTTGAAGACATTACCGTTTCCAACGAAATCCTCAAAGCTAGCCAAATATCCACCTGCAGATTCTACAAAAAGAGTGTTTCAAAAGTGCTCTGTCCAAACCAAGGTTCAATTCTGACAGTTGAGTGCACACATCACAAACGTGATTCTGCGAATGCTTCTGTCTAGTTTTTGTCGGAAGATATTTCCTTTTTCAGCATAGGCCCCAAGGAGCTCAAAATGTCCACTGCCAGATAGTACGAGAAGATTGTTTCAAACCTGCTCTGTGAAAGGGAATGTTCAACTCTGTGACTTGAATGTAAACATCCCTAAGATGTTTCTTAGAATGCTTCTGGCTAGATTTGATTTGAAGATATTCCCGTTTCCAATGAAATCCTCAAAGCTTTCCAAATATCCACTTCCAGATTCTATAAAAAGAATGTTTCAAAACAGTTCTGTCAAAAGAAAGGTTCAACCCTGTTAGTGGAGAACACACATCACAATCAAGGTTCTGAGAATGCTTCTGTCTAGATTTTCTTTGAAGACATTCCCGTTTCCAACGAAATCCTCACAGCTATCCAAATATCCTCTTGCAGATTCTACAAAAAGTGTGGTTCAAAACTGCTGTATCAAAAGAATGGATCAACACTGTTAGTTGAGTACCCACATCACAAACGTGATTCTCAGAATGCTTCTGTCTAGTTTCTGTAGGTAGATATTTCCTATTTTAAGCATAGGCCTGAAAGCGCTCCAAATGCCCTCTTCGAGACACTATAAAAAGAGGGTTTCAAACCTACTCTATGAAAGGGAATGTTCAACTCTGAGAGCTGGATGCAAACATCACAAAGAAGTTTCTGAGAATGCTGCTGTCTACTTTTTATATATAATCCCGTTTCCAACGAAATCCTCAAATCTATCCAAATATCCACTTGCAGATTCCAAAAGAAGAGTGTCTCAAAACTGCTCTATCAATAGAAATGTTCAGCACAGTTAGTTGAGTAGATACAGCATAAACATGTTTCTCAGATTACTTCTATCTCGCATTCATGGGAAGATATTTCCTTTTTCCAGATAGGCTACAAAGCCCTCCAAATGTCCACTTCGAGATACTACAAATAGAGTGCTGCACAACTGCTCTATGTGAGGGGATGTTCAATTCTGTGACTTGAATGCAGACACCACAAAGAAGTTTCTGAGAATGCTGCTGTCTAATTTTTACATGTAAGCCCGTTTCCAACGAAATCCTCAAAGCTATCCAAATATCCGCATGCAGAATCTTCAAAAAGAGTGTTCCAGAAGTACTGCATGAAACGAAAGGTTCAAGTCCGTTTGTTGAGGACACACATCACAAATAAGTTTCTCAGAATGCTTCTGTCTTGTTTTCATTGGAAGATATTTCCTTTTTCACCATAGTTCAGAAAGCGCTCCAAATGTCCACTTCCAGATACTCCAAAAAGAGTGTTTCCAACCTGCTCTATGAATGGGAATGTTCCACTCTGTGACTTGAATGGAAATATGGCAAAGTATTTTCTGAGTATGCTGCTGTGTACGTTTTATATTGCATCCCGTTTCCAACGAAATCCTCAAAGCGATCCAAATATCCACTTGCAGATTCCAAAAAAAGAGTGTTTCAAACTGCTCTGTCAGTACAAAGGTTCAACACTGTTAGTTGATTAGATGCATCATAAACAAGTTCCTGAGATAGCTTCTATGTCGTTTTTATGGGAAGATATTTCCTTTTTCACCATAGGCCTGAAAGCGCTCCAAATGTCCACTTCCAGATACTACAAAAAGAGTGTTTCCAACCTGCTCTATGAAATGGAAGGTTCAACTCTGTGACTTGATTGCAAACATCACGAAAGTGTTTTTGAGAATGCTTCTGTCTAGATTTTCTTTGAAGACATTACCGTTTCCAACGAAATCCTCAAAGCTAGCCAAATATCCACCTGCAGATTCTACAAAAAGAGTGTTTCAAAAGTGCTCTGTCCAAACCAAGGTTCAATTCTGACAGTTGAGTGCACACATCACAAACGTGATTCTGCGAATGCTTCTGTCTAGTTTTTGTCGGAAGATATTTCCTTTTTCAGCATAGGCCCCAAAGAGCTCAAAATGTCCACTGCCAGATAGTACGAGAAGATTGTTTCAAACCTGCTCTGTGAAAGGGAATGTTCAACTCTGTGACTTGAATGTAAACATCCCTAAGATGTTTCTTAGAATGCTTCTGGCTAGATTTGATTTGAAGATATTCCCGTTTCCAACGAAATCCTCAAAGCTTTCCAAATATCCACTTCCAGATTCTATAAAAAGAATGTTTCAAAACAGTTCTGTCAAAAGAAAGGTTCAACCCTGTTAGTGGAGAACACACATCACAATCAAGGTTCTGAGAATGCTTCTGTCTAAATTTTCTATGAAGACATTCCCGTTTCCAACGAAATCCTCACAGCTATCCAAATATCCACTTGCAGATTCTACAAAAAGTGTGGTTCAAAACTGCTGTATCAAAAGAATGGATCAACACTGTTAGTTGAGTACCCACATCACAAACGTGATTCTCAGAATGCTTCTGTCTAGTTTCTATAGGTAGATATTTCCTTTTTCAGCATAGGCCTGAAAGCGCTCCAAATGCCCGCTTCCAGACACTATAAAAAGAGGGTTTCAAACCTACTCTATGAAAGGGAATGTTCAACTCTGAGAGCTGGATGCAAACATCACAAAGAAGTTTCTGAGAATGCTGCTGTCTACTTTTTATATATAATCCCGTTTCCAACGAAATCCTCAAATCTATCCAAATATCCACTTGCAGATTCCAAAAGAAGAGTGTCTCAAAACTGCTCTATCAATAGAAATGTTCAGCACAGTTAGTTGAGTAGATACAGCATAAACATGTTTCTGAGATTACTTCTATCTCGCATTCATGGGAAGATATTTCCTTTTTCCAGATAGGCTACAAAGCCCTCCAAATGTCCACTTCCAGATACTACAAATAGAGTGCTGCACAACTGCTCTATGTGAGGGGAAGTTCAATTCTGTGACTTGAATGCAGACACCACAAAGAAGTTTCTGAGAATGCTGCTGTCTAATTTTTATATGTAAGCCCGTTTCCAACGAAATCCTCAAAGCTATCCAAATATCCGCATGCAGAATCTTCAAAAAGAGTGTTCCAGAAGTACTGCATGAAACGAAAGGTTCAAGTCCGTTAGTTGAGGACACACATCACAAATAAGTTTCTCAGAATGCTTCTGTCTTGTTTTCATTGGAAGATATTTCCTTTTTCACCATAGTTCAGAAAGCGCTCCAAATGTCCACTTCCAGATACTCCAAAAAGAGTGTTTCCAACCTGCTCTATGAATGGGAATGTTCCACTCTGTGACTTGAATGGAAATATGGCAAAGTATTTTCTGAGTATGCTGCTGTGTACGTTTTATATTGCATCCCGTTTCCAACGAAATCCTCAAAGCGATCCAAATATCCACTTGAAGATTCCAAAAAAGAGTGTTTCAAACTGCTCTGTCAGTACAAAGGTTCAACACTGTTAGTTGATTAGATGCATCATAAACAAGTTCCTGAGATAGCTTCTATGTCGTTTTTATGGGAAGATATTTCCTTTTTCACCATAGGCCTGAAAGCGCTCCAAATGTCCACTTCCAGATACTACAAAAAGAGTGTTTCCAACCTGCTCTATGAAACGGAAGGTTCAACTCTGTGACTTGATTGCAAACATCACGAAGGTGTTTCTGAGAATGTTTCTGTCTTGATTTTCTTTGAAGACATTACCGTTTCCAACGAAATCCTCAAAGCTAGCCAAATATCCACCTGCAGATTCTACAAAAAGAGTGTTTCATAGGTGCTCTGTCGAAACAAAGGTTCAATTCTGACAGTTGAGTGCACACATCACAAACGTGATTCTGCGAATGCTTCTGTCTACTTTTTGTCGGAAGATATTTCCTTTTTCAGCATAGGCCCCAAGGAGCTCAAAATGTCCACTTCCAGATAGTACGAGAAGATTGTTTCAAACCTGCTCTGAGAAAGGGGAATTTTCAACTCTGTGACTTGAATGTACACATCCCTAAGATGTTTCTTAGAATGCTTCTGGCTAGATTTGATTTGAAGATATTCCCGTTTCCAACGAAATCCTCAAAGCTTTCCAAATATCCACTTCCAGATTCTATAAAAAGAATGTTTCAGAACAGTTCTGTCAAAAGAATGGTTCAACTCTGTTAGTGGAGAACACACATCACAATCAAGGTTCTGAGAATGCTTCTGTCTAAATTTTCTATGAAGACATTCCCGTTTCCAAGGAAATCCTCACAGCTATCCAAATATCCACTTGCAGATTCTACAAAAAGTGTGGTTCAAAACTGCTGTATCAAAAGAATGGATCAACACTGTTAGTTGAGTACCCACATCACAAACGTGATTCTCAGAATCCTTCTGTCTAGTTTCTATAGGTAGATATTTCCTTTTTCAGCATAGGCCTGAAAGCGCTCCAAATGCCCGCTTCCAGACACTATAAAAAGAGGGTTTCAAACCTACTCTATGAAAGGGAATGTTCAACTCTGAGAGCTGGATGCAAACATCACAAAGAAGTTTCTGAGAATGCTGCTGTCTACTTTTTATATATAATCCCGTTTCCAACGAAATCCTCAAATCTATCCAAATATCCACTTGCAGATTCCAAAAGAAGAGTGTCTCAAAACTGCTCTATCAATAGAAATGTTCAGCACAGTTAGTTGAGTAGATACAGCATAAACATGTTTCTGAGATTACTTCTATCTCGCATTCATGGGAAGATATTTCCTTTTTCCAGATAGGCTACAAAGCCCTCCAAATGTCCACTTCGAGATACTACAAATAGAGTGCTGCACAACTGCTCTATGTGAGGGGAAGTTCAATTCTGTGACTTGAATGCAGACACCACAAAGAAGTTTCTGAGAATGCTGCTGTCTAATTTTTACATGTAAGCCCGTTTCCAACGAAATCCTCAAAGCTATCCAAATATCCGCATGCAGAATCTTCAAAAAGAGTGTTCCAGAAGTACTGCATGAAACGAAAGGTTCAAGTCCGTTTGTTGAGGACACACATCACAAATAAGTTTCTCAGAATGCTTTCTGTCTTGTTTTCATTGGAAGATATTTCCTTTTTCACCATAGTTCAGAAAGCGCTCCAAATGTCCACTTCCAGATACTCCAAAAAGAGTGTTTCAAACCTGCTCTATGAATGGGAATGTTCCACTCTGTGACTTGAATGGAAATATGGCAAAGTATTTTCTGAGTATGCTGCTGTGTACGTTTTATATTGCATCCCGTTTCCAACGAAATCCTCAAAGCGATCCAAATATCCACTTGCAGATTCCAAAAAAAGAGTGTTTCAAACTGCTCTGTCAGTACAAAAGTTCAACACTGTTAGTTGATTAGATGCATCATAAACAAGTTCCTGAGATAGCTTCTATATCGTTTTTATGGGAAGATATTTCCTTTTTCACCATAGGCCTGAAAGCGCTCCAAATGTCCACTTCCAGATACTACAATAAGAATGTTTCCAACCTGCTCTATGAAACGGAAGGTTCAACTCTGTGACTTGATTGCAAACATCACGAAGGTATTTCTGAGAATGCTTCTGTCTAGATTTTCTTTGAAGACATTACCGTTTCCAACGAAATCCTCAAAGCTAGCCAAATATCCACCTGCAGATTCTACAAAAAGAGTGTTTCAAAAGTGCTCTGTCCAAACCAAGGTTCAATTCTGACAGTTGAGTGCACACATCACAAACGTGATTCTGCGAATGCTTCTGTCTAGTTTTTGTCGGAAGATATTTCCTTTTTCAGCATAGGCCCCAAAGAGCTCAAAATGTCCACTGCCAGATAGTACGAGAAGATTGTTTCAAACCTGCTCTGTGAAAGGGAATGTTCAACTCTGTGACTTGAATGTAAACATCCCTAAGATGTTTCTTAGAATGCTTCTGGCTAGATTTGATTTGAAGATATTCCCGTTTCCAACGAAATCCTCAAAGCTTTCCAAATATCCACTTCCAGATTCTATAAAAAGAATGTTTCAGAACAGTTCTGTCAAAAGAAAGGTTCAACTCTGTTAGTGGAGAACACACATCACAATCAAGGTTCTGAGAATGCTTCTGTCTAGATTTTCTTTGAAGACATTCCCGTTTCCAACGAAATCCTCACAGCTATCCAAATATCCTCTTGCAGATTCTACAAAAAGTGTGGTTCAAAACTGCTGTATCAAAAGAATGGATCAACACTGTTAGTTGAGTACCCACATCACAAACGTGATTCTCAGAATGCTTCTGTCTAGTTTCTGTAGGTAGATATTTCCTATTTTAAGCATAGGCCTGAAAGCGCTCCAAATGCCCGCTTCCAGACACTATAAAAAGAGGGTTTCAAACCTACTCTATGAAAGGGAATGTTCAACTCTGAGAGCTGGATGCAAACATCACAAAGAAGTTTCTGAGAATGCTGCTGTCTACTTTTTATATATAATCCCGTTTCCAACGAAATCCTCAAATCTATCCAAATATCCACTTGCAGATTCCAAAGAAGAGTGTCTCAAAACTGCTCTATCAATAGAAATGTTCAGCACAGTTAGTTGAGTAGATACAGCATAAACATGTTTCTGAGATTACTTCTATCTCGCATTCATGGGAAGATATTTCCTTTTTCCAGATAGGCTACAAAGCCCTCCAAATGTCCACTTCCAGATACTACAAATAGAGTGCTGCACAACTGCTCTATGTGAGGGGAATTTCAATTCTGTGACTTGAATGCAGACACCACAAAGAAGTTTCTGAGAATGCTCTGCTGTCTAATTTTTACATGTAAGCCCGTTTCCAACGAAATCCTCAAAGCTATCCAAATATCCGAATGCAGAATCTTCAAAAAGAGTGTTCCAGAAGTACTGCATGAAACGAAAGGTTCAAGTCCGTTTGTTGAGGACACACATCACAAATAAGTTTCTCAGAATGCTTCTGTCTTGTTTTCATTGGAAGATATTTCCTTTTTCACCATAGTTCAGAAAGCGCTCCAAATGTCCACTTCCAGATACTCCAAAAAGAGTGTTTCCAACCTGCTCTATGAATGGGAATGTTCCACTCTGTGACTTGAATGGAAATATGGCAAAGTATTTTCTGAGTATGCTGCTGTGTACGTTTTATATTGCATCCCGTTTCCAACGAAATCCTCAAAGCGATCCAAATATCCACTTGCAGATTCCAAAAAAAGAGTGTTTCAAAGTGCTCTGTCAGTACAAAGGTTCAACACTGTTAGTTGATTAGATGCATCATAAACAAGTTCCTGAGATAGCTTCTATCTCGCATTCATGGGAAGATATTTCCTTTTTCCAGATAGGCTACAAAGCCCTCCAAATGTCCACTTCCAGATACTACAGAAAGAGTGTTTCCAACCTGCTCTATGAAACGGAAGGTTCAACTCTGTGACTTGATTGCAAACATCACGAAGGTGTTTCTGAGAATGCTTCTGTCTAGATTTTCTTTGAAGACATTACCGTTTCCAACGAAATCCTCAAAGCTAGCCAAATATCCACCTGCAGATTCTACAAAAAGAGTGTTTCAAAAGTGCTCTGTCCAAACCAAGGTTCAATTCTGACAGTTGAGTGCACACATCACAAACGTGATTCTGCGAATGCTTCTGTCTAGTTTTTGTCGGAAGATATTTCCTTTTTCAGCATAGGCCCCAAAGAGCTCAAAATGTCCACTGCCAGATAGTACGAGAAGATTGTTTCAAACCTGCTCTGTGAAAGGGAATGTTCAACTCTGTGACTTGAATGTAAACATCCCTAAGCTGTTTCTTAGAATGCTTCTGGCTAGATTTGATTTGAAGATATTCCCGTTTCCAACGAAATCCTCAAAGCTTTCCAAATATCCACTTCCAGATTCTATAAAAAGAATGTTTCAGAACAGTTCTGTCAAAAGAAAGGTTCAACTCTGTTAGTGGAGAACACACATCACAATCAAGGTTCTGAGAATGCTTCTGTCTAAATTTTCTATGAAGACATTCCCGTTTCCAACGAAATCCTCACAGCTATCCAAATATCCACTTGCAGATTCTACAAAAAGTGTGGTTCAAAACTGCTGTATCAAAAGAATGGATCAACACTGTTAGTTGAGTACCCACATCACAAACGTGATTCTCAGAATGCTTCTGTCTAGTTTCTGTAGGTAGATATTTCCTATTTTAAGCATAGGCCTGAAAGCGCTCCAAATGCCCGCTTCCAGACACTATAAAAAGAGGGTTTCAAACCTACTCTATGAAAGGGAATGTTCAACTCTGAGAGCTGGATGCAAACATCACAAAGAAGTTTCTGAGAATGCTGCTGTCTACTTTTTATATATAATCCCGTTTCCAACGAAATCCTCAAATCTATCCAAATATCCACTTGCAGATTCCAAAAGAAGAGTGTCTCAAAACTGCTCTATCAATAGAAATGTTCAGCACAGTTAGTTGAGTAGATACAGCATAAACATGTTTCTGAGATTACTTCTATCTCGCATTCATGGGAAGATATTTCCTTTTTCCAGATAGGCTACAAAGCCCTCCAAATGTCCACTTCGAGATACTACAAATAGAGTGCTGCACAACTGCTCTATGTGAGGGGAAGTTCAATTCTGTGACTTGAATGCAGACACCACAAAGAAGTTTCTGAGAATGCTGCTGTCTAATTTTTACATGTAAGCCCGTTTCCAACGAAATCCTCAAAGCTATCCAAATATCCGCATGCAGAATCTTCAAAAAGAGTGTTCCAGAAGTACTGCATGAAACGAAAGGTTCAAGTCCGTTTGTTGAGGACACACATCACAAATAAGTTTCTCAGAATGCTTCTGTCTTGTTTTCATTGGAAGATATTTCCTTTTTCACCATAGTTCAGAAAGCGCTCCAAATGTCCACTTCCAGATACTCCAAAAAGAGTGTTTCAAACCTGCTCTATGAATGGGAATGTTCCACTCTGTGACTTGAATGGAAATATGGCAAAGTATTTTCTGAGTATGCTGCTGTGTACGTTTTATATTGCATCCCGTTTCCAACGAAATCCTCAAAGCGATCCAAATATCCACTTGCAGATTCCAAAAAAAAGAGTGTTTCACACTGCTCTGTCAGTACAAAGGTTCAACACTGTTAGTTGATTGGATGCATCATAAACAAGTTCCTGAGATAGCTTCTATGTCGTTTTTATGGTAAGATATTTCCTTCTTCACCATAGGCCTGAAAGCGCTCCAAATGTCCACTTCCAGATACTACAAAAAGAGTGTTTCCAACCTGCTCTACGAAACGGAAGGTTCAACTCTGTGACTTGATTGCAAACATCACGAAGGTGTTTCTGAGAATGTTTCTGTCTAGATTTTCTTTGAAGACATTACCGTTTCCAACGAAATCCTCAAAGCTAGTCAAATATCCACCTGCAGATTCTACAAAAAGAGTGTTTCAAAAGTGCTCTGTCCAAACAAAGGTTCAATTCTGACAGTTGAGTGCACACATCACAAAAGTGATTCTGCGAATGCTTCTGTCTAGTTTTTGTCGGAAGATATTTCCTTTTTCAGCATAGGCCCCAAGGAGCTCAAAATGTCCACTTCCAGATACTACGAGAAGATTGTTTCAAACCTGCTCTGTTAAAGGGAATGTTCAACTCTGTGACTTGAATGTAAACATCCCTAAGATGTTTCTTAGAATGCTTCTGGCTAGATTTGATTTGAAGATATTCCCGTTTCCAACGAAATCCTCAAAGCTTTCCAAATATCCACTTCCAGATTCTATAAAAAGAATGTTTCAGAACAGTTCTGTCAAAAGAAAGGTTCAACTCTGTTAGTGGAGAACACACATCACAATCAAGGTTCTGAGAATGTTTCTGTCTAAATTTTCTATGAAGACATTCCCGTTTCCAAGGTAAATCCTCACAGCTATCCAAATATCCACTTGCAGATTCTACAAAAAGTGTGGTTCAAAACTGCTGTATCAAAAGAATGGATCAACACTGTTAGTTGAGTACCCACATCACAAACGTGATTCTCAGAATGCTTCTGTCTAGTTTCTATAGGTAGATATTTCCTTTTTCCGCATAGGCCTGAAATCGTTCCAAATGCCCGCTTCCAGACACTATAAAAAGAGGGTTTCAAACCTACTCTATGAAAGGGAATGTTCAACTCTGAGAGCTGGATGCAAACATCACAAAGAAGTTTCTGAGAATGCTGCTGTCTACTTTTTATATATAATCCCGTTTCCAACGAAATCCTCAAATCTATCCAAATATCCACTTGCAGATTCCAAAAGAAGAGTGTCTCAAAACTGCTCTATCAATAGAAATGTTCAGCACAGTTAGTTGAGTAGATACAGCATAAACATGTTTCTGAGATTACTTCTATCTCGCATTCATGGGAAGATATTTCCTTTTTCCAGATAGGCTACAAAGCCCTCCAAATGTCCACTTCGAGATACTACAAATAGAGTGCTGCACAACTGCTCTATGTGAGGGGAAGTTCAATTCTGTGACTTGAATGCAGACACCACAAAGAAGTTTCTGAGAATGCTGCTGTCTAATTTTTACATGTAAGCCCGTTTCCAACGAAATCCTCAAAGCTATCCAAATATCCGCATGCAGAATCTTCAAAAAGAGTGTTCCAGAAGTACTGCATGAA
This sequence comes from Homo sapiens, assembly GCF_000001405.40. NCBI lineage: Eukaryota > Metazoa > Chordata > Mammalia > Primates > Hominidae > Homo > Homo sapiens. The sequence continues at coordinate 45,829,497 of NC_000008.11, read as the reverse complement.
ACGAAAGGTTCAAGTCCGTTTGTTGAGGACACACATCACAAATAAGTTTCTCAGAATGCTTCTGTCTTGTTTTCATTGGAAGATATTTCCTTTTTCACCATAGTTCAGAAAGCGCTCCAAATGTCCACTTCCAGATACTCCAAAAAGAGTGTTTCCAACCTGCTCTATGAATGGGAATGTTCCACTCTGTGACTTGAATGGAAATATGGCAAAGTATTTTCTGAGTATGCTGCTGTGTACGTTTTATATTGCATCCCGTTTCCAACGAAATCCTCAAAGCGATCCTAATATCCACTTGCAGATTCCAAAAAAAAGAGTGTTTCACACTGCTCTGTCAGTACAAATGTTCAACACTGTTAGTTGATTGGATGCATCATAAACAAGTTCCTGAGATAGCTTCTATGTCGTTTTTATGGGAAGATATTTCCTTTTTCACCATAGGCCTGAAAGCGCTCCAAATGTCCACTTCCAGATACTACAATAAGAGTGTTTCCAACCTGCTCTATGAAACGGAAGGTTCAACTCTGTGACTTGATTGCAAACATCACGAAGGTGTTTCTGAGAATGCTTCTGTCTAGATTTTCTTTGAAGACATTACCGTTTCCAACGAAATCCTCAAAGCTAGCCAAATATCCACCTGCAGATTCTACAAAAAGAGTGTTTCAAAAGTGCTCTGTCCAAACCAAGGTTCAATTCTGACAGTTGAGTGCACACATCACAAACGTGATTCTGCGAATGCTTCTGTCTAGTTTTTGTCGGAAGATATTTCCTTTTTCAGCATAGGCCCCAAGGAGCTCAAAATGTCCACTGCCAGATAGTACGAGAAGATTGTTTCAAACCTGCTCTGTGAAAGGGAATGTTCAACTCTGTGACTTGAATGTAAACATCCCTAAGATGTTTCTTAGAATGCTTCTGGCTAGATTTTATTTGAAGATATTCCCGTTTCCAACGAAATCCTCAAAGCTTTCCAAATATCCACTTGCAGATTCTATAAAAAGAATGTTTCAGAACAGTTCTGTCAAAAGAAAGGTTCAACTCTGTTAGTGGAGAACACACATCACAATCAAGGTTCTGAGAATGCTTCTGTCTAAATTTTCTATGAAGACATTCCCGTTTCCAAGGAAATCCTCACAGCTATCCAAATATCCACTTGCAGATTCTACAAAAAGTGTGGTTCAAAACTGCTGTATCAAAAGAATGGATCAACACTGTTAGTTGAGTACCCACATCACAAACGTGATTCTCAGAATGCTTCTGTCTAGTTTCTATAGGTAGATATTTCCTTTTTCAGCATAGGCCTGAAAGCGCTCCAAATGCCCGCTTCCAGACACTATAAAAAGAGGGTTTCAAACCTACTCTACGAAAGGGAATGTTCAACTCTGAGAGCTGGATGCAAACATCACAAAGAAGTTTCTGGGAATGCGGCTGTCTACTTTTTATATATAATCCCGTTTCCAACGAAATCCTCAAATCTATCCAAATATCCACTTGCAGATTCCAAAAGAAGAGGGTCTCAAAACTGCTCTATCAATAGAAATGTTCAGCACAGTTAGTTGAGTAGATACAGCATAAACATGTTTCTGAGATTACTTCTATCTCGCATTCATGGGAAGATATTTCCTTTTTCCAGATAGGCTACAAAGCCCTCCAAATGTCCACTTCCAGATACTACAAATAGAGTGCTGCACAACTGCTCTATGTGAGGGGAAGTTCAATTCTGTGACTTGAATGCAGACACCACAAAGAAGTTTCTGAGAATGCTGCTGTCTAATTTTTACATGTAAGCCCGTTTCCAACGAAATCCTCAAAGCTATCCAAATATCCGCATGCAGAATCTTCAAAAAGAGTGTTCCAGAAGTACTGCATGAAACGAAAGGTTCAAGTCCGTTTGTTGAGGACACACATCACAAATAAGTTTCTCAGAATGCTTCTGTCTTGTTTTCATTGGAAGATATTTCCTTTTTCACCATAGTTCAGAAAGCGCTCCAAATGTCCACTTCCAGATACTCCAAAAAGAGTGTTTCCAACCTGCTCTATGAATGGGAATGTTCCACTCTGTGACTTGAATGGAAATATGGCAAAGAATTTTCTGAGTATGCTGCTGTGTACGTTTTATATTGCATCCCGTTTCCAACGAAATCCTCAAAGCGATCCAAATATCCACTTGCAGATTCCAAAAAAAGAGTGTTTCAAACTGCTCTGTCAGTACAAAGGTTCAACACTGTTAGTTGATTAGATGCATCATAAAAAAGTTCCTGAGATAGCTTCTATGTCGTTTTTATGGGAAGATATTTCCTTTTTCACCATAGGCCTGAAAGCGCTCCAAATGTCCACTTCCAGATACTACAATAAGAGTGTTTCCAACCTGCTCTATGAAACGGAAGGTTCAACTCTGTGACTTGATTGCAAACATCACGAAGGTATTTCTGAGAATGCTTCTGTCTAGATTTTCTTTGAAGACATTACCGTTTCCAACGAAATCCTCAAAGCTAGCCAAATATCCACCTGCAGATTCTACAAAAAGAGTGTTTCAAAAGTGCTCTGTCCAAACCAAGGTTCAATTCTGACAGTTGAGTGCACACATCACAAACGTGATTCTGCGAATGCTTCTGTCTAGTTTTTGTCGGAAGATATTTCCTTTTTCAGCATAGGCCCCAAGGAGCTCAAAATGTCCACTGCCAGATAGTACGAGAAGATTGTTTCAAACCTGCTCTGTGAAAGGGAATGTTCAACTCTGTGACTTGAATGTAAACATCCCTAAGATGTTTCTTAGAATGCTTCTGGCTAGATTTGATTTGAAGATATTCCCGTTTCCAACGAAATCCTCAAAGCTTTCCAAATATCCACTTCCAGATTCTATAAAAAGAATGTTTCAGAACAGTTCTGTCAAAAGAAAGGTTCAACTCTGTTAGTGGAGAACACACATCACAATCAAGGTTCTGAGAATGCTTCTGTCTAGATTTTCTTTGAAGACATTCCCGTTTCCAACGAAATCCTCACAGCTATCCAAATATCCTCTTGCAGATTCTACAAAAAGTGTGGTTCAAAACTGCTGTATCAAAAGAATGGATCAACACTGTTAGTTGAGTACCCACATCACAAACGTGATTCTCAGAATGCTCTGTCTAGTTTCTGTAGGTAGATATTTCCTATTTTAAGCATAGGCCTGAAAGCGCTCCAAATGCCCGCTTGCAGACACTATAAAAAGAGGGTTTCAAACCTACTCTATGAAAGGGAATGTTCAACTCTGAGAGCTGGATGCAAACATCACAAAGAAGTTTCTGAGAATGCTGGCTGTCTACTTTTTATATATAATCCCGTTGCCAACGAAATCCTCAAATCTATCCAAATATCCACTTGCAGATTCCAAAAGAAGAGTGTCTCAAAACTGCTCTATCAATAGACATGTTCAGCACAGTTAGTTGAGTAGATACAGCATAAACATGTTTCTGAGATTACTTCTATCTCGCATTCATGGGAAGATATTTCCTTTTTCCAGATAGGCTACAAAGCCCTCCAAATGTCCACTTCGAGATACTACAAATAGAGTGCTGCACAACTGCTCTATGTGAGGGGAAGTTCAATTCTGTGACTTGAATGCAGACACCACAAAGAAGTTTCTGAGAATGCTGCTGTCTAATTTTTACATGTAAGCCCGTTTCCAACGAAATCCTCAAAGCTATCCAAATATCCGCATGCAGAATCTTCAAAAAGAGTGTTCCAGAAGTACTGCATGAAACGAAAGTTTCAAGTCCGTTTGTTGAGGACACACATCACAAATAAGTTTCTCAGAATGCTTCTGTCTTGTTTTCATTGGAAGATATTTCCTTTTTCACCATAGTTCAGAAAGCGCTCCAAATGTCCACTTCCAGATACTCCAAAAAGAGTGTTTCCAACCTGCTCTATGAATGGGAATGTTCCACTCTGTGACTTGAATGGAAATATGGCAAAGTATTTTCTGAGTATGCTGCTGTGTACGTTTTATATTGCATCCCGTTTCCAACGAAATCCTCAAAGCGATCCAAATATCCACTTGCAGATTCCAAAAAAAGAGTGTTTCAAACTGCTCTGTCAGTACAAAGGTTCAACACTGTTAGTTGATTAGATGCATCATAAACAAGTTCCTGAGATAGCTTCTATGTCGTTTTTATGGGAAGATATTTCCTTTCTCACCATAGGCCTGAAAGCGCTCCAAATGTCCACTTCCAGATACTACAAAAAGAGTGTTTCCAACCTGCTCTATGAAACGGAAGGTTCAACTCTGTGACTTGATTGCAAACATCACGAAGGTGTTTCTGAGAATGTTTCTGTCTAGATTTTCTTTGAAGACATTACCGTTTCCAACGAAATCCTCAAAGCTAGCCAAATATCCACCTGCAGATTCTACAAAAAGAGTGTTTCAAAAGTGCTCTGTCCAAACAAAGGTTCAATTCTGACAGTTGAGTGCACACATCACAAACGTGATTCTGCGAATGCTTCTGTCTAGTTTTTGTCGCAAGCTATTTCCTTTCTCAGCATAGGCCCCAAGGAGCTCAAAATGTCCACTTCCAGATAGTACGAGAAGATTGTTTCAAACCTGCTCTGTGAAAGGGAATGTTCAACTCTGTGACTTGAATGTAAACATCCCTAAGATGTTTCTTAGAATGCTTCTGGCTAGATTTTATTTGAAGATATTCCCGTTTCCAACGAAATCCTCAAAGCTTTCCAAATATCCACTTCCAGATTCTATAAAAAGAATGTTTCAGAACAGTTCTGTCAAAAGAAAGGTTCAACTCTGTTAGTGGAGAACACACATCACAATCAAGGTTCTGAGAATGCTTCTGTCTAGATTTTCTTTGAAGACATTCCCGTTTCCAACGAAATCCTCACAGCTATCCAAATATCCTCTTGCAGATTCTACAAAAAGTGTGGTTCAAAACTGCTGTATCAAAAGAATGGATCAACACTGTTAGTTGAGTACCCACATCACAAACGTGATTCTCAGAATGCTTCTGTCTAGTTTCTGTAGGTAGATATTTCCTATTTTAAGCATAGGCCTGAAAGCGCTCCAAAGGCCCGCTTCCAGACACTATAAAAAGAGGGTTTCAAACCTACTCTATGAAAGGGAATGTTCAACTCTGAGAGCTGGATGCAAACATCACAAAGAAGTTTCTGAGAATGCTGCTGTCTACTTTTTATATATAATCCCGTTTCCAACGAAATCCTCAAATCTATCCAAATATCCACTTGCAGATTCCAAAAGAAGAGTGTCTCAAAACTGCTCTATCAATAGAAATGTTCAGCACAGTTAGTTGAGTAGATACAGCATAAACACGTTTCTGAGATTACTTCTATCTCGCATTCATGGGAAGATATTTCCTTTTTCCAGATAGGCTACAAAGCCCTCCAAATGTCCACTTCCAGATACTACAAATAGAGTGCTGCACAACTGCTCTATGTGAGGGGAAGTTCAATTCTGTGACTTGAATGCAGACACCACAAAGAAGTTTCTGAGAATGCTGCTGTCTAATTTTTACATGTAAGCCCGTTTCCAACGAAATCCTCAAAGCTATCCAAATATCCGCATGCAGAATCTTCAAAAAGAGTGTTCCAGAAGTACTGCATGAAACGAAAGGTTCAAGTCCGTTTGTTGAGGACACACATCACAAATAAGTTTCTCAGAATGCTTCTGTCTTGTTTTCATTGGAAGATATTTCCTTTTTCACCATAGTTCAGAAAGCGCTCCAAATGTCCACTTCCAGATACTCCAAAAAGAGTGTTTCCAACCTGCTCTATGAATGGGAATGTTCCACTCTGTGACTTGAATGGAAATATGGCAAAGTATTTTCTGAGTACTGCTGCTGTGTACGTTTTATATTGCATCCCGTTTCCAACGAAATCCTCAAAGCGATCCAAATATCCACTTGCAGATTCCAAAAAAAGAGTGTTTCAAACTGCTCTGTCAGTACAAAGGTTCAACACTGTTAGTTGATTAGATGCATCATAAACAAGTTCCTGAGATAGCTTCTATCTCGCATTCATGGGAAGATATTTCCTTTTTCCAGATAGGCTACAAAGCCCTCCAAATGTCCACTTCCAGATACTACAAAAAGAGTGTTTCAAACCTGCTCTATGAAACGGAAGGTTCAACTCTGTGACTTGATTGCAAACATCACGAAGTTGTTTCTGAGAATGCTTCTGTCTAGATTTTCTTTGAAGACATTACCGTTTCCAACGAAATCCTCAAAGCTAGCCAAATATCCACCTACAGATTCTACAAAAAGAGTGTTTCAAAAGTGCTCTGTCCAAACCAAGGTTCAATTCTGAGAGTTGAGTGCACACATCACAAACGTGATTCTGCGAATGCTTTCTGTCTAGTTTTTGTCGGAAGATATTTCCTTTTTCAGCATAGGCCCCAAGGAGCTCAAAATGTCCACTGCCAGATAGTACGAGAAGATTGTTTCAAACCTGCTCTGTGAAAGGGAATGTTCAACTCTGTGACTTGAATGTAAACATCCATAAGCTGTTTCTTAGAATGCTTCTGGCTAGATTTGATTTGAAGATATTCCCGTTTCCAACGAAATCCTCAAAGCTTTCCAAATATCCACTTCCAGATTCTATAAAAAGAATGTTTCAGAACAGTTCTGTCAAAAGAAAGGTTCAACTCTGTTAGTGGAGAACACACATCACAATCAAGGTTCTGAGAATGCTTCTGTCTAGATTTTCTTTGAAGACATTCCCGTTTCCAACGAAATCCTCACAGCTATCCAAATATCCTCTTGCAGATTCTACAAAAAGTGTGGTTCAAAACTGCTGTATCAAAAGAATGGATCAACACTGTTAGTTGAGTACCCACATCACAAACGTGATTCTCAGAATGCTTCTGTCTAGTTTCTGTAGGTAGATATTTCCTATTTTAAGCATAGGCCTGAAAGCGCTCCAAATGCCCGCTTCCAGACACTATAAAAAGAGGGTTTCAAACCTACTCTATGAAAGGGAATGTTCAACTCTGAGAGCTGGATGCAAACATCACAAAGAAGTTTCTGAGAATGCTGCTGTCTACTTTTTATATATAATCCCGTTTCCAACGAAATCCTCAAATCTATCCAAATATCCACTTGCAGATTCCAAAAGAAGAGTGTCTCAAAACTGCTCTATCAATAGAAATGTTCAGCACAGTTAGTTGAGTAGATACAGCATAAACATGTTTCTCAGATTACTTCTATCTCGCATTCATGGGAAGATATTTCCTTTTTCCAGATAGGCTACAAAGCCCTCCAAATGTCCACTTCCAGATACTACAAATAGAGTGCTGCACAACTGCTCTATGTGAGGGGAAGTTCAATTCTGTGACTTGAATGCAGACACCACAAAGAAGTTTCTGAGAATGCTGCTGTCTAATTTTTACATGTAAGCCCGTTTCCAACGAAATCCTCAAAGCTATCCAAATATCCGCATGCAGAATCTTCAAAAAGAGTGTTCCAGAAGTACTGCATGAAACGAAAGGTTCAAGTCCGTTTGTTGAGGACACACATCACAAATAAGTTTCTCAGAATGCTTCTGTCTTGTTTTCATTGGAAGATATTTCCTTTTTCACCATAGTTCAGAAAGCGCTCCAAATGTCCACTTCCAGATACTCCAAAAAGAGTGTTTCAAACCTGCTCTATGAATGGGAATGTTCCACTCTGTGACTTGAATGGAAATATGGCAAAGTATTTTCTGAGTATGCTGCTGTGTACGTTTTATATTGCATCCCGTTTCCAACGAAATCCTCAAAGCGATCCAAATATCCACTTGCAGATTCCAAAAAAAGAGTGTTTCAAACTGCTCTGTCAGTACAAAGGTTCAACACTGTTAGTTGATTAGATGCATCATAAACAAGTTCCTGAGATAGCTTCTATCTCGCATTCATGGGAAGATATTTCCTTTTTCCACATAGGCTACAAAGCCCTCCAAATGTCCACTTCCAGATACTACAAAAAGAGTGTTTCCAACCTGCTCTATGAAACGGAAGGTTCAACTCTGTGACTTGATTGCAAACATCACGAAGGTGTTTCTGAGAATGCTTCTGTCTAGATTTTCTTTGAAGACATTACCGTTTCCAACGAAATCCTCAAAGCTAGCCAAATATCCACCTGCAGATTCTACAAAAAGAGTGTTTCAAAAGTGCTCTGTCCAAACCAAGGTTCAATTCTGACAGTTGAGTGCACACATCACAAACGTGATTCTGCGAATGCTTCTGACTAGTTTTTGTCGGAAGATATTTCCTTTTTCAGCATAGGCCCCAAAGAGCTCAAAATGTCCACTGCCAGATAGTACGAGAAGATTGTTTCAAACCTGCTCTGTGAAAGGGAATGTTCAACTCTGTGACTTGAATGTAAACATCCCTAAGATGTTTCTTAGAATGCTTCTGGCTAGATTTTATTTGAAGATATTCCCGTTTCCAACGAAATCCTCAAAGCTTTCCAAATATCCACTTCCAGATTCTATAAAAAGAATGTTTCATAACAGTTCTGTCAAAAGAAAGGTTCAACTCTGTTAGTGGAGAACACACATCACAATCAAGGTTCTGAGAATGCTTCTGTCTAAATTTTCTATGAAGACATTCCCGTTTCCAACGAAATCCTCACAGCTATCCAAATATCCACTTGCAGATTCTACAAAAAGTGTGGTTCAAAACTGCTGTATCAAAAGAATGGATCAACACTGTTAGTTGAGTACCCACATCACAAACGTGATTCTCAGAATGCTTCTGTCTAGTTTCTGTAGGTAGATATTTCCTATTTTAAGCATAGGCCTGAAAGCGCTCCAAATGCCCGCTTCCAGACACTATAAAAAGAGGGTTTCAAACCTACTCTATGAAAGGGAATGTTCAACTCTGAGAGCTGGATGGAAACATCACAAAGAAGTTTCTGAGAATGCTTGCTGTCTACTTTTTATATATAATCCCGTTTCCAACGAAATCCTCAAATCTATCCAAATATCCACTTGCAGATTCCAAAAGAAGAGTGTCTCAAAACTGCTCTATCAATAGAAATGTTCAGCACAGTTAGTTGAGTAGATACAGCATAAACACGTTTCTGAGATTACTTCTATCTCGCATTCATGGGAAGATATTTCCTTTTTCCAGATAGGCTACAAAGCCCTCCAAATGTCCACTTCCAGATACTACAAATAGAGTGCTGCACAACTGCTCTATGTGAGGGGAAGTTCAATTCTGTGACTTGAATGCAGACACCACAAAGAAGTTTCTGAGAATGCTGCTGTCTAATTTTTACATGTAAGCCCGTTTCCAACGAAATCCTCAAAGCTATCCAAATATCCGCATGCAGAATCTTCAAAAAGAGTGTTCCAGAAGTACTGCATGAAACGAAAGGTTCAAGTCCGTTTGTTGAGGACACACATCACAAATAAGTTTCTCAGAATGCTTCTGTCTTGTTTTCATTGGAAGATATTTCCTTTTTCACCATAGTTCAGAAAGCGCTCCAAATGTCCACTTCCAGATACTCCAAAAAGAGTGTTTCCAACCTGCTCTATGAATGGGAATGTTCCACTCTGTGACTTGAATGGAAATATGGCAAAGTATTTTCTGAGTATGCTGCTGTGTACGTTTTATATTGCATCCCGTTTCCAACGAAATCCTCAAAGCGATCCAAATATCCACTTGCAGATTCCAAAAAAAGAGTGTTTCAAACTGCTCTGTCAGTACAAAGGTTCAACACTGTTAGTTGATTAGATGCATCATAAACAAGTTCCTGAGATAGCTTCTATGTCGTTTTTATGGGAAGATATTTCCTTTTTCACCATAGGCCTGAAAGCGCTCCAAATGTCCACTTCCAGATACTACAATAAGAGTGTTTCCAACCTGCTCTATGAAACGGAAGGTTCAACTCTGTGACTTGATTGCAAACATCACGAAGGTGTTTCTGAGAATGCTTCTGTCTAGATTTTCTTTGAAGACATTACCGTTTCCAACGAAATCCTCAAAGCTAGCCAAATATCCACCTGCAGATTCTACAAAAAGAGTGTTTCAAAAGTGCTCTGTCCAAACCAAGGTTCAATTCTGACAGTTGAGTGCACACATCACAAACGTGATTCTGCGAATGCTTCTGTCTAGTTTTTGTCGGAAGATATTTCCTTTTTCAGCATAGGCCCCAAGGAGCTCAAAATGTCCACTTCCAGATACTACGAGAAGATTGTTTCAAACCTGCTCTGTGAAAGGGAATGTTCAACTCTGTGACTTGAATGTAAACATCCCTAAGATGTTTCTTAGAATGCTTTCTGGCTAGATTTTATTTGAAGATATTCCCGTTTCCAACGAAATCCTCAAAGCTTTCCAAATATCCACTTCCAGATTCTATAAAAAGTATGTTTCAAAACAGTTCTGTCAAAAGAAAGGTTCAACCCTGTTAGTGGAGAACACACATCACAATCAAGGTTCTGAGAATGCTTCTGTCTAAATTTTCTATGAAGACATTCCCGTTTCCAAGGAAATCCTCACAGCTATCCAAATATCCACTTGCAGATTCTACAAAAAGTGTGGTTCAAAACTGCTGTATCAAAAGAATGGATCAACACTGTTAGTTGAGTACCCACATCACAAACGTGATTCTCAGAATGCTTCTGTCTAGTTTCTGTAGGTAGATATTTCCTATTTTAAGCATAGGCCTGAAAGCGCTCCAAATGCCCGCTTCCAGACACTATAAAAAGAGGGTTTCAAACCTACTCTATGAAAGGGAATGTTCAACTCTGAGAGCTGGATGCAAACATCACAAAGAAGTTTCTGAGAATGCTGCTGTCTACTTTTTATATATAATCCCGTTTCCAACGAAATCCTCAAATCTATCCAAATATCCACTTGCAGATTCCAAAAGAAGAGTGTCTCAAAACTGCTCTATCAATAGAAATGTTCAGCACAGTTAGTTGAGTAGATACAGCATAAACATGTTTCTGAGATTACTTCTATCTCGCATTCATGGGAAGATATTTCCTTTTTCCAGATAGGCTACAAAGCCCTCCAAATGTCCACTTCCAGATACTACAAATAGAGTGCTGCACAACTGCTCTATGTGAGGGGAAGTTCAATTCTGTGACTTGAATGCAGACACCACAAAGAAGTTTCTGAGAATGCTGCTGTCTAATTTTTACATGTAAGCCCGTTTCCAATGAAATCCTCAAAGCTATCCAAATATCCGCATGCAGAATCTTCAAAAAGAGTGTTCCAGAAGTACTGCATGAAACGAAAGGTTCAAGTCCGTTTGTTGAGGACACACATCACAAATAAGTTTCTCAGAATGCTTCTGTCTTGTTTTCATTGGAAGATATTTCCTTTTTCACCATAGTTCAGAAAGCGCTCCAAATGTCCACTTCCAGATACTCCAAAAAGAGTGTTTCCAACCTGCTCTATGAATGGGAATGTTCCACTCTGTGACTTGAATGGAAATATGGCAAAGTATTTTCTGAGTATGCTGCTGTGTACGTTTTATATTGCATCCCGTTTCCAACGAAATCCTCAAAGCGATCCAAATATCCACTTGCAGATTCCAAAAAAAGAGTGTTTCAAACTGCTCTGTCAGTACAAAGGTTCAACACTGTTAGTTGATTAGATGCATCATAAACAAGTTCCTGAGATAGCTTCTATGTCGTTTTTATGGGAAGATATTTCCTTTTTCACCATAGGCCTGAAAGCGCTCCAAATGTCCACTTCCAGATACTACAATAAGAGTGTTTCCAACCTGCTCTATGAAACGGAAGGTTCAACTCTGTGACTTGATTGCAAACATCACGAAGGTGTTTCTGAGAATGCTTCTGTCTAGATTTTCTTTGAAGACATTACCGTTTACAACGAAATCCTCAAAGCTAGCCAAATATCCACCTGAAGATTCTACAAAAAGAGTGTTTCAAAAGTGCTCTGTCCAAACCAAGGTTCAATTCTGACAGTTGAGTGCACACATCACAAACGTGATTCTGCGAATGCTTCTGTCTAGTTTTTGTCGGAAGATATTTCCTTTTTCAGCATAGGCCCCAAGGAGCTCAAAATGTCCACTGCCAGATAGTACGAGAAGATTGTTTCAAACCTGCTCTGTGAAAGGGAATGTTCAACTCTGTGACTTGAATGTAAACATCCCTAAGATGTTTCTTAGAATGCTTCTGGCTAGATTTTATTTGAAGATATTCCCGTTTCCAATGAAATCCTCAAAGCTTTCCAAATATCCACTTCCAGATTCTATAAAAAGAATGTTTCAGAACAGTTCTGTCAAAAGAAAGGTTCAACTCTGTTAGTGGAGAACACACATCACAATCAAGGTTCTGAGAATGCTTCTGTCTAAATTTTCTATGAAGACATTCCCGTTTCCAACGAAATCCTCACAGCTATCCAAATATCCACTTGCAGATTCTACAAAAAGTGTGGTTCAAAACTGCTGTATCAAAAGAATGGATCAACACTGTTAGTTGAGTACCCACATCACAAACGTGATTCTCAGAATGCTTCTGTCTAGTTTCTGTAGGTAGATATTTCCTATTTTAAGCATAGGCCTGAAAGCGCTCCAAATGCCCGCTTCCAGACACTATAAAAAGAGGGTTTCAAACCTACTCTATGAAAGGGAATGCTCAACTCTGAGAGCTGGATGCAAACATCACAAAGAAGTTTCTGAGAATGCTGCTGTCTACTTTTTATATATAATCCCGTTTCCAACGAAATCCTCAAATCTCTCCAAATATCCACTTGCAGATTCCAAAAGAAGAGTGTCTCAAAACTGCTCTATCAATAGAAATGTTCAGCACAGTTAGTTGAGTAGATACAGCATAAACATGTTTCTGAGATTACTTCTATCTCGCATTCATGGGAAGATATTTCCTTTTTCCAGATAGGCTACAAAGCCCTCCAAATGTCCACTTCCAGATACTACAAATAGAGTGCTGCACAACTGCTCTATGTGAGGGGAAGTTCAATTCTGTGACTTGAATGCAGACACCACAAAGAAGTTTCTGAGAATGCTGCTGTCTAATTTTTACATGTAAGCCCGTTTCCAACGAAATCCTCAAAGCTATCCAAATATCCGCATGCAGAATCTTCAAAAAGAGTGTTCCAGAAGTACTGCATGAAACGAAAGGTTCAAGTCCGTTTGTTGAGGACACACATCACAAATAAGTTTCTCAGAATGCTTCTGTCTTGTTTTCATTGGAAGATATTTCCTTTTTCACCATAGTTCAGAAAGCGCTCCAAATGTCCACTTCCAGATACTCCAAAAAGAGTGTTTCAAACCTGCTCTATGAATGGGAATGTTCCACTCTGTGACTTGAATGGAAATATGGCAAAGTATTTTCTGAGTATGCTGCTGTGTACGTTTTATATTGCATCCCGTTTCCAACGAAATCCTCAAAGCGATCCAAATATCCACTTGCAGATTCCAAAAAAAGAGTGTTTCAAACTGCTCTGTCAGTACAAAGGTTCAACACTGTTAGTTGATTAGATGCATCATAAACAAGTTCGTGAGATAGCTTCTATGTCGTTTTTATGGGAAGATATTTCCTTTTTCACCATAGGCCTGAAAGCGCTCCAAATGTCCACTTCCAGATACTACAATAAGAGTGTTTCCAACCTGCTCTATGAAACGGAAGGTTCAACTCTGTGACTTGATTGCAAACATCACGAAGGTGTTTCTGAGAATGCTTCTGTCTAGATTTTCTTTGAAGACATTACCGTTTCCAACGAAATCCTCAAAGCTAGCCAAATATCCACCTGCAGATTCTACAAAAAGAGTGTTTCAAAAGTGCTCTGTCCAAACCAAGGTTCAATTCTGACAGTTGAGTGCACACATCACAAACGTGATTCTGCGAATGCTTCTGTCTAGTTTTTGTCGGAAGATATTTCCTTTTTCAGCATAGGCCCCAAGGAGCTCAAAATGTCCACTGCCAGATAGTACGAGAAGATTGTTTCAAACCTGCTCTGTGAAAGGGAATGTTCAACTCTGTGACTTGAATGTAAACATCCCTAAGATGTTTCTTAGAATGCTTCTGGCTAGATTTTATTTGAAGATATTCCCGTTTCCAACGAAATCCTCAAAGCTTTCCAAATATCCACTTCCAGATTCTATAAAAAGAATGTTTCAGAACAGTTCTGTCAAAAGAAAGGTTCAACTCTGTTAGTGGAGAACACACATCACAATCAAGGTTCTGAGAATGCTTCTGTCTAAATTTTCTATGAAGACATTCCCGTTTCCAACGAAATCCTCACAGCTATCCAAATATCCACTTGCAGATTCTACAAAAAGTGTGGTTCAAAACTGCTGTATCAAAAGAATGGATCAACACTGTTAGTTGAGTACCCACATCACAAACGTGATTCTCAGAATGCTTCTGTCTAGTTTCTATAGGTAGATATTTCCTTTTTCAGCATAGGCCTGAAAGCGCTCCAAATGCCCGCTTCCAGACACTATAAAAAGAGGGTTTCAAACCTACTCTATGAAAGGGAATGTTCAACTCTGAGAGCTGGATGCAAACATCACAAAGAAGTTTCTGAGAATGCTGCTGTCTACTTTTGATATATAATCCCGTTTCCAACGAAATCCTCAAATCTATCCAAATATCCACTTGCAGATTCCAAAAGAAGAGTGTCTCAAAACTGCTCTATCAATAGAAATGTTCAGCACAGTTAGTTGAGTAGATACAGCATAAACATGTTTCTGAGATTACTTCTATCTCGCATTCATGGGAAGATATTTCCTTTTTCCACATAGGCTACAAAGCCCTCCAAATGTCCACTTCCAGATACTACAAATAGAGTGCTGCACAACTGCTCTATGTGAGGGGATGTTCAATTCTGTGACTTGAATGCAGACACCACAAAGAAGTTTCTGAGAATGCTGCTGTCTAATTTTTACATGTAAGCCCGTTTCCAACGAAATCCTCAAAGCTATCCAAATATCCGCATGCAGAATCTTCAAAAAGAGTGTTCCAGAAGTACTGCATGAAACGAAAGGTTCAAGTCCGTTTGTTGAGGACACACATCACAAATAAGTTTCTCAGAATGCTTCTGTCTTGTTTTCATTGGAAGATATTTCCTTTTTCACCATAGTTCAGAAAGCGCTCCAAATGTCCACTTCCAGATACTCCAAAAAGAGTGTTTCAAACCTGCTCTATGAATGGGAATGTTCCACTCTGTGACTTGAATGGAAATATGGCAAAGTATTTTCTGAGTATGCTGCTGTGTACGTTTTATATTGCATCCCGTTTCCAACGAAATCCTCAAAGCGATCCAAATATCCACTTGCAGATTCCAAAAAAAGAGTGTTTCAAACTGCTCTGTCAGTACAAAGGTTCAACACTGTTAGTTGATTAGATGCATCATAAACAAGTTCCTGAGATAGCTTCTATGTCGTTTTTATGGGAAGATATTTCCTTTTTCACCATAGGCCTGAAAGCGCTCCAAATGTCCACTTCCAGATACTACAAAAAGAGTGTTTCCAACCTGCTCTATGAAACGGAAGGTTCAACTCTGTGACTTGATTGCAAACATCACGAAGGTGTTTCTGAGAATGCTTCTGTCTAGATTTTCTTTGAAGACATTACCGTTTCCAACGAAATCCTCACAGCTATCCAAATATCCACCTGCAGATTCTACAAAAAGAGTGTTTCAAAAGTGCTCTGTCCAAACCAAGGTTCAATTCTGACAGTTGAGTGCACACATCACAAACGTGATTCTGCGAATGCTTCTGTCTAGTTTTTGTCGGAAGATATTTCCTTTTTCAGCATAGGCCCCAAGGAGCTCAAAATGTCCACTGCCAGATAGTACGAGAAGATTGTTTCAAACCTGCTCTGTGAAAGGGAATGTTCAACTCTGTGACTTGAATGTAAACATCCCTAAGATGTTTCTTAGAATGCTTCTGGCTAGATTTGATTTGAAGATATTCCCGTTTCCAACGAAATCCTCAAAGCTTTCCAAATATCCACTTCCAGATTCTATAAAAAGAATGTTTCAGAACAGTTCTGTCAAAAGAAAGGTTCAACTCTGTTAGTGGAGAACACACATCACAATCAAGGTTCTGAGAATGCTTCTGTCTAGATTTTCTTTGAAGACATTCCCGTTTCCAACGAAATCCTCACAGCTATCCAAATATCCTCTTGCAGATTCTACAAAAAGTGTGGTTCAAAACTGCTGTATCAAAAGAATGGATCAACACTGTTAGTTGAGTACCCACATCACAAACGTGATTCTCAGAATGCTTCTGTCTAGTTTCTGTAGGTAGATATTTCCTATTTTAAGCATAGGCCTGAAAGCGCTCCAAATGCCCGCTTCCAGACACTATAAAAAGAGGGTTTCAAACCTACTCTATGAAAGGGAATGTTCAACTCTGAGAGCTGGATGCAAACATCACAAAGAAGTTTCTGAGAATGCTGCTGTCTACTTTTTATATATAATCCCGTTTCCAACGAAATCCTCAAATCTATCCAAATATCCACTTGCAGATTCCAAAAGAAGAGTGTCTCAAAACTGCTCTATCAATAGAAATGTTCAGCACAGTTAGTTGAGTAGATACAGCATAAACATGTTTCTGAGATTACTTCTATCTCGCATTCATGGGAAGATATTTCCTTTTTCCAGATAGGCTACAAAGCCCTCCAAATGTCCACTTCCAGATACTACAAATAGAGTGCTGCACAACTGCTCTATGTGAGGGGATGTTCAATTCTGTGACTTGAATGCAGACACCACAAAGAAGTTTCTGAGAATGCTGCTGTCTAATTTTTATATGTAAGCCCGTTTCCAACGAAATCCTCAAAGCTATCCAAATATCCGCATGCAGAATCTTCAAAAAGAGTGTTCCAGAAGTACTGCATGAAACGAAAGGTTCAAGTCCGTTAGTTGAGGACACACATCACAAATAAGTTTCTCAGAATGCTTCTGTCTTGTTTTCATTGGAAGATATTTCCTTTTTCACCATAGTTCAGAAAGCGCTCCAAATGTCCACTTCCAGATACTACAAAAGGAGTTTTTCCAACCTGCTCTATGAATGGGAATGTTCCACTCTGTGACTTGAATGGAAATATGGCAAAGTATTTTCTGAGTATGCTGCTGTGTACGTTTTATATTGCATCCCGTTTCCAACGAAATCCTCAAAGCGATCCAAATATCCACTTGCAGATTCCAAAAAAAGAGTGTTTCAAACTGCTCTGTCAGTACAAAGGTTCAACACTGTTAGTTGATTAGATGCATCATAAACAAGTTCCTGAGACAGCTTCTATGTCGTTTTTATGGGAAGATATTTCCTTTTTCACCATAGGCCTGAAAGCGCTCCAAATGTCCCCTTCCAGATACTACAATAAGAGTGTTTCCAACCTGCTCTATGAAACGGAAGGTTCAACTCTGTGACTTGATTGCAAACATCACGAAGGTGTTTCTGAGAATGCTTCTGTCTAGATTTTCTTTGAAGACATTACCGTTTCCAACGAAATCCTCAAAGCTAGCCAAATATCCACCTGCAGATTCTACAAAAAGAGTGTTTCAAAAGTGCTCTGTCCAAACCAAGGTTCAATTCTGACAGTTGAGTGCACACATCACAAACGTGATTCTGCGAATGCTTCTGTCTAGTTTTTGTCGGAAGATATTTCCTTTTTCAGCATAGGCCCCAAGGAGCTCAAAATGTCCACTGCCAGATAGTACGAGAAGATTGTTTCAAACCTGCTCTGTGAAAGGGAATGTTCAACTCTGTGACTTGAATGTAAACATCCCTAAGATGTTTCTTAGAATGCTTCTGGCTAGATTTTATTTGAAGATATTCCCGTTTCCAACGAAATCCTCAAAGCTTTCCAAATATCCACTTCCAGATTCTATAAAAAGAATGTTTCAGAACAGTTCTGTCAAAAGAAAGGTTCAACTCTGTTAGTGGAGAACACACATCACAATCAAGGTTCTGAGAATGCTTCTGTCTAAATTTTCTATGAAGACATTCCCGTTTCCAACGAAATCCTCACAGCTATCCAAATATCCACTTGCAGATTCTACAAAAAGTGTGGTTCAAAACTGCTGTATCAAAAGAATGGATCAACACTGTTAGTTGAGTACCCACATCACAAACGTGATTCTCAGAATGCTTCTGTCTAGTTTCTATAGGTAGATATTTCCTTTTTCAGCATAGGCCTGAAAGCGCTCCAAATGCCCGCTTCCAGACACTATAAAAAGAGGGTTTCAAACCTACTCTATGAAAGGGAATGTTCAACTCTGAGAGCTGGATGCAAACATCACAAAGAAGTTTCCTGAGAATGCTGCTGTCTACTTTTTATATATAATCCCGTTTCCAACGAAATCCTCAAATCTATCCAAATATCCACTTGCAGATTCCAAAAGAAGAGTGTCTCAAAACTGCTCTATCAATAGAAATGTTCAGCACAGTTAGTTGAGTAGATACAGCATAAATATGTTTCTCAGATTACTTCTATCTCGCATTCATGGGAAGATATTTCCTTTTTCCAGATAGGCTACAAAGCCCTCCAAATGTCCACTTCGAGATACTACAAATAGAGTGCTGCACAACTGCTCTATGTGAGGGGATGTTCAATTCTGTGACTTGAATGCAGACACCACAAAGAAGTTTCTGAGAATGCTGCTGTCTAATTTTTACATGTAAGCCCGTTTCCAACGAAATCCTCAAAGCAATCCAAATATCCGCATGCAGAATCTTCAAAAAGAGTGTTCCAGAAGTACTGCATGAAACGAAAGGTTCAAGTCCGTTTGTTGAGGACACACATCACAAATAAGTTTCTCAGAATGCTTCTGTCTTGTTTTCATTGGAAGATATTTCCTTTTTCACCATAGTTCAGAAAGCGCTCCAAATGTCCACTTCCAGATACTCCAAAAAGAGTGTTTCCAACCTGCTCTATGAATGGGAATGTTCCACTCTGTGACTTGAATGGAAATATGGCAAAGTATTTTCTGAGTATGCTGCTGTGTACGTTTTATATTGCATCCCGTTTCCAACGAAATCCTCAAAGCGATCCAAATATCCACTTGCAGATTCCAAAAAAAGAGTGTTTCAAAGTGCTCTGTCAGTACAAAGGTTCAACACTGTTAGTTGATTAGATGCATCATAAACAAGATCCTGAGATAGCTTCTATGTCATTTTTATGGGAAGATATTTCCTTTTTCACCGTAGGCCTGAAAGCGCTCCAAATGTCCACTTCCAGATACTACAAAAAGAGTGTTTCCAACCTGCTCTATGAAACGGAAGGTTCAACTCTGTGACTTGATTGCAAACATCACGAAGGTGTTTCTGAGAATGTTTCTGTCTAGATTTTCTTTGAAGACATTACCGTTTCCAACGAAATCCTCAAAGCTAGCCAAATATCCACCTGCAGATTCTACAAAAAGAGTGTTTCAAAAGTGCTCTGTCCAAACCAAGGTTCAATTCTGACAGTTCAGTGCACACATCACAAACGTGATTCTGCGAATGCTTCTGTCTAGTTTTTGTCGGAAGATATTTCCTTTTTCAGCATAGGCCCCAAGGAGCTCAAAATGTCCACTTCCAGATAGTACGAGAAGATTGTTTCAAACCTGCTCTGTGAAAGGGAATGTTCAACCCTGTGACTTGAATGTAAACATCCCTAAGATGTTTCTTAGAATGCTTCTGGCTAGATTTTATTTGAAGATATTCCCGTTTCCAACGAAATCCTCAAAGCTTTCCAAATATCCACTTCCAGATTCTATAAAAAGAATGTTTCAGAACAGTTCTGTCAAAAGAAAGGTTCAACTCTGTTAGTGGAGAACACACATCACAATCAAGGTTCTGAGAATGCTTCTGTCTAAATTTTCTATGAAGACATTCCCGTTTCCAACGAAATCCTCACAGCTATCCAAATATCCACTTGCAGATTCTACAAAAAGTGTGGTTCAAAACTGCTGTATCAAAAGAATGGATCAACACTGTTAGTTGAGTACCCACATCACAAACGTGATTCTCAGAATGCTTCTGTCTAGTTTCTATATGTAGATATTTCCTTTTTCAGCATAGGCCTGAAAGCGCTCCAAATGCCCGCTTCCGGACACTATAAAAAGAGGGTTTCAAACCTACTCTATGAAAGGGAATGTTCAACTCTGAGAGCTGGATGCAAACATCACAAAGAAGTTTCTGAGAATGCTGCTGTCTACTTTTTATATATAATCCCGTTTCCAACGAAATCCTCAAATCTATCCAAATATCCACTTGCAGATTCCAAAAGAAGAGTGTCTCAAAACTGCTCTATCAATAGAAATGTTCAGCACAGTTAGTTGAGTAGATACAGCATAAACATGTTTCTGAGATTACTTCTATCTCGCATTCATGGGAAGATATTTCCTTTTTCCAGATAGGCTACAAAGCCCTCCAAATGTCCACTTCCAGATACTACAAATAGAGTGCTGCACAACTGCTCTATGTGAGGGGAAGTTCAATTCTGTGACTTGAATGCAGACACCACAAAGAAGTTTCTGAGAATGCTGCTGTCTAATTTTTATATGTAAGCCCGTTTCCAACGAAATCCTCAAAGCTATCCAAATATCCGCATGCAGAATCTTCAAAAAGAGTGTTCCAGAAGTACTGCATGAAACGAAAGGTTCAAGTCCGTTAGTTGAGGACACACATCACAAATAAGTTTCTCAGAATGCTTCTGTCTTGTTTTCATTGGAAGATATTTCCTTTTTCACCATAGTTCAGAAAGCGCTCCAAATGTCCACTTCCAGATACTCCAAAAAGAGTGTTTCAAACCTGCTCTATGAATGGGAATGTTCCACTCTGTGACTTGAATGGAAATATGGCAAAGTATTTTCTGAGTATGCTGCTGTGTACGTTTTATATTGCATCCCGTTTCCAACGAAATCCTCAAAGCGATCCAAATATCCACTTGCAGATTCCAAAAAAAGAGTGTTTCAAACTGCTCTGTCAGTACAAAGGTTCAACACTGTTAGTTGATTAGATGCCTCATAAACAAGTTCCTGAGATAGCTTCTATGTCGTTTTTATGGGAAGATATTTCCTTTTTCACCATAGGCCTGAAAGCGCTCCAAATGTCCACTTCCAGATACTACAAAAAGAGTGTTTCCAACCTGCTCTATGAAACGGAAGGTTCAACTCTGTGACTTGATTGCAAACATCACGAAGGTGTTTCTGAGAATGCTTCTGTCTAGATTTTCTTTGAAGACATTACCGTTTCCAACGAAATCCTCAAAGCTAGCCAAATATCCACCTGCAGATTCTACAAAAAGAGTGTTTCAAAAGTGCTCTGTCCAAACCAAGGTTCAATTCTGACAGTTGAGTGCACACATCACAAACGTGATTCTGCGAATGCTTCTGTCTAGTTTTTGTCGGAAGATATTTCCTTTCTCAGCATAGGCCCCAAGGAGCTCAAAATGTCCACTTCCAGATAGTACGAGAAGATTGTTTCAAACCTGCTCTGTGAAAGGGAATGTTCAACTCTGTGACTTGAATGTAAACATCCCTAAGATGTTTCTTAGAATGCTTCTGGCTAGATTTTATTTGAAGATATTCCCGTTTCCAACGAAATCCTCAAAGCTTTCCAAATATCCACTTCCAGATTCTATAAAAAGTATGTTTCAAAACAGTTCTGTCAAAAGAAAGGTTCAACCCTGTTATTGGACAACACACATCACAATCAAGGTTCTGAGAATGCTTCTGTCTAAATTTTCTATGAAGACATTCCCGTTTCCAACGAAATCCTCACAGCTATCCAAATATCCACTTGCAGATTCTACAAAAAGGGTGGTTCAAAACTGCTGTATCAAAAGAATGGATCAACACTGTTAGTTGAGTACCCACATCACAAACGTGATTCTCAGAATGCTTCTGTCTAGTTTCTGTAGGTAGATATTTCCTTTTTCAGCATAGGCCTGAAAGCGCTCCAAATGCCCGCTTCCAGACACTATAAAAAGGGGGTTTCAAACCTACTCTATGAAAGGGAATGTTCAACTCTGAGAGCTGGATGCAAACATCACAAAGAAGTTTCTGAGAATGCTGCTGTCTACTTTTGATATATAATCCCGTTTCCAACGAAATCCTCAAATCTAGCCAAATATCCACTTGCAGATTCCAAAAGAAGAGTGTCTCAAAACTGCTCTATCAATAGAAATGTTCAGCACAGTTAGTTGAGTAGATACAGCATAAACATGTTTCTGAGATTACTTCTATCTCGCATTCATGGGAAGATATTTCCTTTTTCCAGATAGGCTACAAAGCCCTCCAAATGTCCACTTCGAGATACTAAAAATAGAGTGCTGCACAACTGCTCTATGTGAGGGGATGTTCAATTCTGTGACTTGAATGCAGACACCACAAAGAAGTTTCTGAGAATGCTGCTGTCTAATTTTTATATGTAAGCCCGTTTCCAACGAAATCCTCAATGCTAACCAAATATCCGCATGCAGAATCTTCAAAAAGAGTGTTCCAGAAGTACTGCATGAAATGAAAGCTTCGAGTCCGTTAGTTGAGGACACGCATCACAAATAAGTTTCTCAGAATGCTTCTGTCTTGTTTTCATTGGAAGATATTTCCTTTTTCACCATAGTTCAGAAAGCGCTCCAAATGTCCACTTCCAGATACTCCAAAAAGAGTGTTTCCAACCTGCTCTATGAATGGGAATGTTCCACTCTGTGACTTGAATGGAAATATGGCAAAGTATTTTCTGAGTATGCTGCTGTGTACGTTTTATATTGCATCCCGTTTCCAACGAAATCCTCAAAGCAATCCAAATATCCACTTGCAGATTCCAAAAAAAGAGTGTTTCAAACTGCTCTGTCAGTACAAAGGTTCAACACTGTTAGTTGATTAGATGCATCATAAACAAGTTCCTGAGATAGCTTCTATGTCGTTTTTATGGGAAGATATTTCCTTTTTCACCATAGGCCTGAAAGCGCTCCAAATGTCCACTTCCAGATACTACAATAAGAGTGTTTCCAACCTGCTCTATGAAACGGAAGGTTCAACTCTGTGACTTGATTGCAAACATCACGAAGGTGTTTCTGAGAATGCTTCTGTCTAGATTTTCTTTGAAGACATTACCGTTTCCAACGAAATCCTCAAAGCTAGCCAAATATCCACCTGCAGATTCTACAAAAAGTGTGTTTCAAAAGTGCTCTCTCCAAACCAAGGTTCACTTCTGACAGTTGAGTGCACACATCACAAACGTGATTCTGCGAATGCTTCTGTCTAGTTTTTGTCGGAAGATATTTCCTTTTTCAGCATAGGCCCCAAAGAGCTCAAAATGTCCACTGCCAGATAGTACGAGAAGATTGTTTCAAACCTGCTCTGTGAAAGGGAATGTTCAACTCTGTGACTTGAATGTAAACATCCCTAAGCTGTTTCTTAGAATGCTTCTGGCTAGATTTGATTTGAAGATATTCCCGTTTCCAACGAAATCCTCAAAGCTTTCCAAATATCCACTTCCAGATTCTATAAAAAGAATGTTTCAGAACAGTTCTGTCAAAAGAAAGGTTCAACTCTGTTAGTGGAGAACACACATCACAATCAAGGTTCTGAGAATGCTTCTGTCTAAATTTTCTATGAAGACATTCCCGTTTCCAACGAAATCCTCACAGCTATCCAAATATCCACTTGCAGATTCTACAAAAAGTGTGGTTCAAAACTGCTGTATCAAAAGAATGGATCAACACTGTTAGTTGAGTACCCACATCACAAACGTGATTCTCAGAATGCTTCTGTCTAGTTTCTATAGGTAGATATTTCCTTTTTCAGCATAGGCCTGAAAGCGCTCCAAATGCCCGCTTCCAGACACTATAAAAAGAGGGTTTCAAACCTACTCTATGAAAGGGAATGTTCAACTCTGAGAGCTGGATGCAAACATCACAAAGAAGTTTCTGAGAATGCTGCTGTCTACTTTTTATATATAATCCCGTTTCCAACGAAATCCTCAAATCTATCCAAATATCCACTTGCAGATTCCAAAAGAAGAGTGTCTCAAAACTGCTCTATCAATAGAAATGTTCAGCACAGTTAGTTGAGTAGATACAGCATAAACATGTTTCTGAGATTACTTCTATCTCGCATTCATGGGAAGATAATTCCTTTTTCCAGATAGGCTACAAAGCCCTCCAAATGTCCACTTCCAGATACTACAAATAGAGTGCTGCACAACTGATCTATGTGAGGGGAAGTTCAATTCTGTGACTTGAATGCAGACACCACAAAGAAGTTTCTGAGAATGCTGCTGTCTAATTTTTACATGTAAGCCCGTTTCCAACGAAATCCTCAAAGCTATCCAAATATCCGCATGCAGAATCTTCAAAAAGAGTGTTCCAGAAGTACTGCATGAAACGAAAGGTTCAAGTCCGTTTGTTGAGGACACACATCACAAATAAGTTTCTCAGAATGCTTCTGTCTTGTTTTCATTGGAAGATATTTCCTTTTTCACCATAGTTCAGAAAGCGCTCCAAATGTCCACTTCCAGATACTCCAAAAAGAGTGTTTCCAACCTGCTCTATGAATGGGAATGTTCCACTCTGTGACTTGAATGGAAATATGGCAAAGAATTTTCTGAGTATGCTGCTGTGTACGTTTTATATTGCATACCGTTTCCAACGAAATCCTCAAAGCGATCCAAATATCCACTTGCAGATTCCAAAAAAAGAGTGTTTCAAACTGCTCTGTCAGTACAAAGGTTCAACACTGTTAGTTGATTAGATGCCTCATAAACAAGTTCCTGAGATAGCTTCTATGTTGTTTTTATGGGAAGATATTTCCTTTTTCACCATAGGCCTGAAAGCGCTCCAAATGTCCACTTCCAGATACTACAATAAGAGTGTTTCCAACCTGCTCTATGAAACGGAAGGTTCAACTCTGTGACTTGATTGCAAACATCACGAAGGGTGTTTCTGAGAATGCTTCTGTCTAGATTTTCTTTGAAGACATTACCGTTTCCAACGAAATCCTCAAAGCTAGCCAAATATCCACCTGCAGATTCTACAAAAAGAGTGTTTCAAGAGTGCTCTCTCCAAACCAAGGTTCAATTCTGACAGTTGAGTGCACACATCACAAACGTGATTCTGCGAATGCTTCTGTCTAGTTTTTGTCGGAAGATATTTCCTTTTTCAGCATAGGCCCCAAGGAGCTCAAAATGTCCACTGCCAGATAGTACGAGAAGATTGTTTCAAACCTGCTCTGTGAAAGGGAATGTTCAACTCTGTGACTTGAATGTAAACATCCCTAAGATGTTTCTTAGAATGCTTCTGGCTAGATTTGATTTGAAGATATTCCCGTTTCCAATGAAATCCTCAAAGCTTTCCAAATATCCACTTCCAGATTCTATAAAAAGAATGTTTCAAAACAGTTCTGTCAAAAGAAAGGTTCAACCCTGTTAGTGGAGAACACACATCACAATCAAGGTTCTGAGAATGCTTCTGTCTAAATTTTCTATGAAGACATTCCCGTTTCCAAGGAAATCCTCACAGCTATCCAAATATCCACTTGCAGATTCTACAAAAAGTGTGGTTCATAACTGCTGTATCAAAAGAATGGATCAACACTGTTAGTTGAGTACCCACATCACAACCGTGATTCTCAGAATGCTTCTGTCTAGTTTCTGTAGGTAGATATTTCCTATTTTAAGCATAGGCCTGAAAGCGCTCCAAATGCCCGCTTCCAGACACTATAAAAAGAGGGTTTCAAACCTACTCTATGAAAGGGAATGTTCAACTCTGAGAGCTGGATGCAAACATCACAAAGAAGTTTCTGAGAATGCTGCTGTCTACTTTTTATATATAATCCCGTTTCCAACGAAATCCTCAAATCTATCCAAATATCCACTTGCAGATTCCAAAAGAAGAGTGTCTCAAAACTGCTCTATCAATAGAAATGTTCAGCACAGTTAGTTGAGTAGATACAGCATAAACATGTTTCTGAGATTACTTCTATCTCGCATTCATGGGAAGATATTTCCTTTTTCCAGATAGGCTACAAAGCCCTCCAAATGTCCACTTCGAGATACTACAAATAGAGTGCTGCACAGCTGCTCTATGTGAGGGGATGTTCAATTCTGTGACTTGAATGCAGACACCACAAAGAAGTTTCTGAGAATGCTGCTGTCTAATTTTTATATGTAAGCCCATTTCCAACGAAATCCTCAAAGCTATCCAAATATCCGCATGCAGAATCTTCAAAAAGAGTGTTCCAGAAGTACTGCATGAAACGAAAGGTTCAAGTCCGTTAGTTGAGGACACACATCACAAATAAGTTTCTCAGAATGCTTCTGTCTTGTTTTCATTGGAAGATATTTCCTTTTTCACCATAGTTCAGAAAGCGCTCCAAATGTCCACTTCCAGATACTCCAAAAAGAGTGTTTCAAACCTGCTCTATGAATGGGAATGTTCCACTCTGTGACTTGAATGGAAATATGGCAAAGTATTTTCTGAGTATGCTGCTGTGTACGTTTTATATTGCATCCCGTTTCCAACGAAATCCTCAAAGCGATCCAAATATCCACTTGCAGATTCCAAAAAAAGAGTGTTTCATACTGCTCTGTCAGTACAAAGGTTCAACACTGTTAGTTGATTAGATGCATCATAAACAAGTTCCTGAGATAGCTTCTATGTCGCTTTTATGGGAAGATATTTCCTTTTACACCATAGGCCTGAAAGCGCTCCAAATGTCCACTTCCAGATACTACAATAAGAGTGTTTCCAACCTGCTCTATGAAACGGAAGGTTCAACTCTGTGACTTGATTGCAAACATCACGAAGGTGTTTCTGAGGATGTTTCTGTCTAGATTTTCTTCGAAGACATTACCGTTTCCAAAGAAATCCTCAAAGCTAGCCAAATATCCACCTGCAGATTCTACAAAGAGAGTTTCAAAAGTGCTCTGTCCAAACAAAGGTTCAATTCTGACAGTTGAGTGCACACATCACAAACGTGATTCTGCGAATGCTTCTGTCTAGTTTTTGTCAGAAGATATTTCCTTTTTCAGCATAGGCCCCAAGGAGTTCAAAATGTCCACTGCCAGATAGTACGAGAAGATTGTTTCAAACCTGCTCTGAGAAAGGGGAATGTTCAACTCTGTGACTTGAATGTAAACATCCCTAAGATGTTTCTTAGAATGCTTCTGGCTAGATTTTATTTGAAGATATTCCCGTTTCCAACGAAATCCTCAAAGCTTTCCAAATATCCACTTCCAGATTCTATAAAAAGAATGTTTCAGAACAGTTCTGTCAAAAGAAAGGTTCAACTCTGTTAGTGGAGAACACACATCACAATCAAGGTTCTGAGAATGCTTCTGTCTAAATTTTCTATGAAGACATTCCCGTTTCCAACGAAATCCTCACAGCTATCCAAATATCCACTTGCAGATTCTACAAAAAGTGTGGTTCAAAACTGCTGTATCAAAAGAATGGATCAACACTGTTAGTTGAGTACCCACATCACAAACGTGATTCTCAGAATGCTTCTGTCTAGTTTCTATAGGTAGATATCTCCTTTTTCAGCATAGGCCTGAAAGCGCTCCAAATGCCCGCTTCCAGACACTATAAAAAGAGGGTTTCAAACCTACTCTATGAAAGGGAATGTTCAACTCTGAGAGCTGGATGCAAACATCACAAAGAAGTTTCTGAGAATGCTGCTGTCTACTTTTTATATATAATCCCGTTTCCAACGAAATCCTCAAATCTATCCAAATATCCACTTGCAGATTCCAAAAGAAGAGTGTCTCAAAACTGCTCTATCAATAGAAATGTTCAGCACAGTTAGTTGAGTAGATACAGCATAAACATGTTTCTGAGATTACTTCTATCTCGCATTCATGGGAAGATATTTCCTTTTTCCAGATAGGCTACAAAGCCCTCCAAATGTCCACTTCCAGATACTACAAATAGAGTGCTGCACAACTGCTCTATGTGAGGGGAAGTTCAACTCTGTGACTTGAATGCAGACACGACAAAGAAGTTTCTGAGAATGCTGCTGTCTAATTTTTACATGTAAGCCCGTTTCCAACGAAATCCTCAAAGCTATCCAAATATCCGCATGCAGAATCTTCAAAAAGAGTGTTCCAGAAGTACTGCATGAAACGAAAGGTTCAAGTCCGTTTGTTGAGGACACACATCACAAATAAGTTTCTCAGAATGCTTCTGTCTTGTTTTCATTGGAAGATATTTCCTTTTTCACCATAGTTCAGAAAGCGCTCCAAATGTCCACTTCCAGATACTCCAAAAAGAGTGTTTCCAACCTGCTCTATGAATGGGAATGTTCCACTCTGTGACTTGAATGGAAATATGGCAAAGTATTTTGCTGAGTATGCTGCTGTGTACGTTTTATATTGCATCCCGTTTCCAACGAAATCCTCAAAGCGATCCAAATATCCACTTGCAGATTCCAAAAAAAGAGTGTTTCAAACTGCTCTGTCAGTACAAAGGTTCAACACTGTTAGTTGATTAGATGCATCATAAACAAGTTCCTGAGATAGCTTCTATCTCGCATTCATGGGAAGATATTTCCTTTTTCCAGATAGGCTACAAAGCCCTCCAAATGTCCACTTCCAGATACTACAAAAAGAGTGTTTCCAACCTGCTCTATGAAACGGAAGGTTCAACTCTGTGACTTGATTGCAAACATCACGAAGGTGTTTCTGAGAATGCTTCTGTCTAGATTTTCTTTGAAGACATTACCGTTTCCAACGAAATCCTCAAAGCTAGCCAAATATCCACCTGCAGATTCTACAAAAAGAGTGTTTCAAAAGTGCTCTGTCCAAACCAAGGTTCAATTCTGACAGTTGAGTGCACACATCACAAACGTGATTCTGCGAATGCTTCTGACTAGTTTTTGTCGGAAGATATTTCCTTTTTCAGCATAGGCCCCAAAGAGCTCAAAATGTCCACTGCCAGATAGTACGAGAAGATTGTTTCAAACCTGCTCTGTGAAAGGGAATGTTCAACTCTGTGACTTGAATGTAAACATCCCTAAGATGTTTCTTAGAATGCTTCTGGCTAGATTTGATTTGAAGATATTCCCGTTTCCAACGAAATCCTCAAAGCTTTCCAAATATCCACTTCCAGATTCTATAAAAAGAATGTTTCAGAACAGTTCTGTCAAAAGAAAGGTTCAACTCTGTTAGTGGAGAACACACATCACAATCAAGGTTCTGAGAATGCTTCTGTCTAAATTTTCTATGAAGACATTCCCGTTTCCAACGAAATCCTCACAGCTATCCAAATATCCACTTGCAGATTCTACAAAAAGTGTGGTTCAAAACTGCTGTATCAAAAGAATGGATCAACACTGTTAGTTGAGTACCCACATCACAAACGTGATTCTCAGAATGCTTCTGTCTAGTTTCTGTAGGTAGATATTTCCTATTTTAAGCATAGGCCTGAAAGCGCTCCAAATGCCCGCTTCCAGACACTATAAAAAGAGGGTTTCAAACCTACTCTATGAAAGGGAATGTTCAACTCTGAGAGCTGGATGCAAACATCACAAAGAAGTTTCTGAGAATGCTGCTGTCTACTTTTTATATATAATCCCGTTTCCAACGAAATCCTCAAATCTATCCAAATATCCACTTGCAGATTCCAAAAGAAGAGTGTCTCAAAACTGCTCTATCAATAGAAATGTTCAGCACAGTTAGTTGAGTAGATACAGCATAAACATGTTTCTGAGATTACTTCTATCTCGCATTCATGGGAAGATATTTCCTTTTTCCAGATAGGCTACAAAGCCCTCCAAATGTCCACTTCCAGATACTACAAATAGAGTGCTGCACAACTGCTCTATGTGAGGGGATGTTCAATTCTGTGACTTGAATGCAGACACCACAAAGAAGTTTCTGAGAATGCTGCTGTCTAATTTTTACATGTAAGGCCGTTTCCAACGAAATCCTCAAAGCTATCCAAATATCCGCATGCAGAATCTTCAAAAAGAGTGTTCCAGAAGTACTGCATGAAACGAAAGGTTCAAGTCCGTTTGTTGAGGACACACATCACAAATAAGTTTCTCAGAATGCTTCTGTCTTGTTTTCATTGGAAGATATTTCCTTTTTCACCATAGTTCAGAAAGCGCTCCAAATGTCCACTTCCAGATACTCCAAAAAGAGTGTTTCAAACCTGCTCTATGAATGGGAATGTTCCACTCTGTGACTTGAATGGAAATATGGCAAAGTATTTTCTGAGTATGCTGCTGTGTACGTTTTATATTGCATCCCGTTTCCAACGAAATCCTCAAAGCGATCCAAATATCCACTTGCAGATTCCAAAAAAAGAGTGTTTCAAACTGCTCTGTCAGTACAAAGGTTCAACACTGTTAGTTGATTAGATGCATCATAAACAAGTTCCTGAGATAGCTTCTATCTCGCATTCATGGGAAGATATTTCCTTTTTCCACATAGGCTACAAAGCCCTCCAAATGTCCACTTCCAGATACTACAAAAAGAGTGTTTCCAACCTGCTCTATGAAACGGAAGGTTCAACTCTGTGACTTGATTGCAAACATCACGAAGGTGTTTCTGAGAATGCTTCTGTCTAGATTTTCTTTGAAGACATTACCGTTTCCAACGAAATCCTCAAAGCTAGCCAAATATCCACCTGCAGATTCTACAAAAAGAGTGTTTCAAAAGTGCTCTGTCCAAACCAAGGTTCAATTCTGACAGTTGAGTGCACACATCACAAACGTGATTCTGCGAATGCTTCTGTCTAGTTTTTGTCGGAAGATATTTCCTTTTTCAGCATAGGCCCCAAGGAGCTCAAAATGTCCACTGCCAGATAGTACGA
Source organism: Homo sapiens (assembly GCF_000001405.40). NCBI lineage: Eukaryota > Metazoa > Chordata > Mammalia > Primates > Hominidae > Homo > Homo sapiens. Next base: position 45,798,771 of record NC_000008.11, on the reverse strand, counting down.
GAAGATTGTTTCAAACCTGCTCTGTGAAAGGGAATGTTCAACTCTGTGACTTGAATGTAAACATCCCTAAGATGTTTCTTAGAATGCTTCTGGCTAGATTTTATTTGAAGATATTCCCGTTTCCAACGAAATCCTCAAAGCTTTCCAAATATCCACTTCCAGATTCTATAAAAAGAATGTTTCAGAACAGTTCTGTCAAAAGAAAGGTTCAACTCTGTTAGTGGAGAACACACATCACAATCAAGGTTCTGAGAATGCTTCTGTCTAAATTTTCTATGAAGACATTCCCGTTTCCAACGAAATCCTCACAGCTATCCAAATATCCACTTGCAGATTCTACAAAAAGTGTGGTTCAAAACTGCTGTATCAAAAGAATGGATCAACACTGTTAGTTGAGTACCCACATCACAAACGTGATTCTCAGAATGCTTCTGTCTAGTTTCTGTAGGTAGATATTTCCTATTTTAAGCATAGGCCTGAAAGCGCTCCAAATGCCCGCTTGCAGACACTATAAAAAGAGGGTTTCAAACCTACTCTATGAAAGGGAATGTTCAACTCTGAGAGCTGGATGCAAACATCACAAAGAAGTTTCTGAGAATGCTGCTGTCTACTTTTTATATATAATCCCGTTTCCAACGAAATCCTCAAATCTATCCAAATATCCACTTGCAGATTCCAAAAGAAGAGTGTCTCAAAACTGCTCTATCAATAGAAATGTTCAGCACAGTTAGTTGAGTAGATACAGCATAAACATGTTTCTGAGATTACTTCTATCTCGCATTCATGGGAAGATATTTCCTTTTTCCAGATAGGCTACAAAGCCCTCCAAATGTCCACTTCCAGATACTACAAATAGAGTGCTGCACAACTGCTCTATGTGAGGGGAAGTTCAATTCTGTGACTTGAATGCAGACACCACAAAGAAGTTTCTGAGAATGCTGCTGTCTAATTTTTACATGTAAGCCCGTTTCCAACGAAATCCTCAAAGCTATCCAAATATCCGCATGCAGAATCTTCAAAAAGAGTGTTCCAGAAGTACTGCATGAAACGAAAGGTTCAAGTCCGTTTGTTGAGGACACACATCACAAATAAGTTTCTCAGAATGCTTCTGTCTTGTTTTCATTGGAAGATATTTCCTTTTTCACCATAGTTCAGAAAGCGCTCCAAATGTCCACTTCCAGATACTCCAAAAAGAGTGTTTCCAACCTGCTCTATGAATGGGAATGTTCCACTCTGTGACTTGAATGGAAATATGGCAAAGTATTTTCTGAGTATGCTGCTGTGTACGTTTTATATTGCATCCCGTTTCCAACGAAATCCTCAAAGCGATCCAAATATCCACTTGCAGATTCCAAAAAAAGAGTGTTTCAAACTGCTCTGTCAGTACAAAGGTTCAACACTGTTAGTTGATTAGATGCATCATAAACAAGTTCCTGAGATAGCTTCTATGTCGTTTTTATGGGAAGATATTTCCTTCTTCACCATAGGCCTGAAAGCGCTCCAAATGTCCACTTCCAGATACTACAAAAAGAGTGTTTCCAACCTGCTCTATGAAACGGAAGGTTCAACTCTGTGACTTGATTGCAAACATCACGAAGGTGTTTCTGAGAATGTTTCTGTCTAGATTTTCTTTGAAGACATTACCGTTTCCAACGAAATCCTCAAAGCTAGCCAAATATCCACCTGCAGATTCTACAAAAAGAGTGTTTCAAAAGTGCTCTGTCCAAACCAAGGTTCAATTCTGACAGTTGAGTGCACACATCACAAACGTGATTCTGCGAATGCTTCTGTCTAGTTTTTGTCGGAAGATATTTCCTTTTTCAGCATAGGCCCCAAGGAGCTCAAAATGTCCACTGCCAGATAGTACGAGAAGATTGTTTCAAACCTGCTCTGTGAAAGGGAATGTTCAACTCTGTGACTTGAATGTAAACATCCCTAAGATGTTTCTTAGAATGCTTCTGGCTAGATTTTATTTGAAGATATTCCCGTTTCCAACGAAATCCTCAAAGCTTTCCAAATATCCACTTCCAGATTCTATAAAAAGAATGTTTCAGAACAGTTCTGTCAAAAGAAAGGTTCAACTCTGTTAGTGGAGAACACACATCACAATCAAGGTTCTGAGAATGCTTCTGTCTAAATTTTCTATGAAGACATTCCCGTTTCCAACGAAATCCTCACAGCTATCCAAATATCCACTTGCAGATTCTACAAAAAGTGTGGTTCAAAACTGCTGTATCAAAAGAATGGATCAACACTGTTAGTTGAGTACCCACATCACAAACGTGATTCTCAGAATGCTTCTGTCTAGTTTCTATAGGTAGATATTTCCTTTTTCAGCATAGGCCTGAAAGCGCTCCAAATGCCCGCTTCCAGACACTATAAAAAGAGGGTTTCAAACCTACTCTATGAAAGGGAATGTTCAACTCTGAGAGCTGGATGCAAACATCACAAAGAAGTTTCTGAGAATGCTGCTGTCTACTTTTTATATATAATCCCGTTTCCAACGAAATCCTCAAATCTATCCAAATATCCACTTGCAGATTCCAAAAGAAGAGTGTCTCAAAACTGCTCTATCAATAGAAATGTTCAGCACAGTTAGTTGAGTAGATACAGCATAAACATGTTTCTGAGATTACTTCTATCTCGCATTCATGGGAAGATATTTCCTTTTTCCAGATAGGCTACAAAGCCCTCCAAATGTCCACTTCCAGATACTACAAATAGAGTGCTGCACAACTGCTCTATGTGAGGGGAAGTTCAATTCTGTGACTTGAATGCAGACACCACAAAGAAGTTTCTGAGAATGCTGTTGTCTAATTTTTACATGTAAGACCGTTTCCAACGAAATCCTCAAAGCTATCCAAATATCCGCATGCAGAATCTTCAAAAAGAGTGTTCCAGAAGTACTGCATGAAACGAAAGTTTCAAGTCCGTTTGTTGAGGACACACATCACAAATAAGTTTCTCAGAATGCTTCTGTCTTGTTTTCATTGGAAGATATTTCCTCTTTCACCATAGTTCAGAAAGCGCTCCAAATGTCCACTTCCAGATACTACAAAAGGAGTGTTTCCAACCTGCTCTATGAATGGGAATGTTCCACTCTGTGACTTGAATGGAAATATGGCAAAGTATTTTCTGAGTATGCTGCTGTGTACGTTTTATATTGCATCCCGTTTCCAACGAAATCCTCAAAGCGATCCAAATATCCACTTGCAGATTCCAAAAAAAAGAGTGTTTCACACTGCTCTGTCAGTACAAAGGTTCAACACTGTTAGTTGATTGGATGCATCATAAACAAGTTCCTGAGATAGCTTCTATCTCGCATTCATGGGAAGATATTTCCTTTTTCCAGATAGGCTACAAAGCCCTCCAAATGTCCACTTCCAGATACTACAAAAAGTGTGTTTCCAACCTGCTCTATGAAACGGAAGGTTCAACTCTGTGACTTGATTGCAAACATCACGAAGGTGTTTCTGAGAATGCTTCTGTCTAGATTTTCTTTGAAGACATTACCGTTTCCAACGAAATCCTCAAAGCTAGCCAAATATCCACCTGCAGATTCTACAAAAAGTGTGTTTCAAAAGTGCTCTCTCCAAACCAAGGTTCACTTCTGACAGTTGAGTGCACACATCACAAACGTGATTCTGCGAATGCTTCTGTCTAGTTTTTGTCGGAAGATATTTCCTTTTTCAGCATAGGCCCCAAGGAGCTCACAATGTCCACTGCCAGATAGTACGAGAAGATTGTTTCAAATCTGCTCTGTGAAAGGGAATGTTCAACTCTGTGACTTGAATGTAAACATCCCTAAGATGTTTCTTAGAATGCTTCTGGCTAGATTTGATTTGAAGATATTCCCGTTTCCAACGAAATCCTCAAAGCTTTCCAAATATCCACTTCCAGATTCTATAAAAAGAATGTTTCAAAACAGTTCTGTCAAAAGAAAGGTTCAACCCTGTTAGTGGAGAACACACATCACAATCAAGGTTCTGAGAATGCTTCTGTCTAAATTTTCTATGAAGACATTCCCGTTTCCAACGAAATCCTCACAGCTATCCAAATATCCACTTGCAGATTCTACAAAAAGTGTGGTTCAAAACTGCTGTATCAAAAGAATGGATCAACACTGTTAGTTGAGTACCCACATCACAAACGTGATTCTCAGAATGCTTCTGTCTAGTTTCTGTAGGTAGATATTTCCTATTTTAAGCATAGGCCTGAAAGCGCTCCAAATGCCCGCTTCCAGACACTATAAAAAGAGGGTTTCAAACCTACTCTATGAAAGGGAATGTTCAACTCTGAGAGCTGGATGCAAACATCACAAAGAAGTTTCTGAGAATGCTGCTGTCTACTTTTTATATATAATCCCGTTTCCAACGAAATCCTCAAATCTATCCAAATATCCACTTGCAGATTCCAAAAGAAGAGTGTCTCAAAACTGCTCTATCAATAGAAATGTTCAGCACAGTTAGTTGAGTAGATACAGCATAAACATGTTTCTCAGATTACTTCTATCTCGCATTCATGGGAAGATAATTCCTTTTTCCAGATAGGCTACAAAGCCCTCCAAATGTCCACTTCCAGATACTACAAATAGAGTGCTGCACAACTGCTCTATGTGAGGGGAAGTTCAATTCTGTGACTTGAATGCAGACACCACAAAGAAGTTTCTGAGAATGCTGTTGTCTAATTTTTACATGTAAGACCGTTTCCAACGAAATCCTCAAAGCTATCCAAATATCCGCATGCAGAATCTTCAAAAAGAGTGTTCCAGAAGTACTGCATGAAACGAAAGTTTCAAGTCCGTTTGTTGAGGACACACATCACAAATAAGTTTCTCAGAATGCTTCTGTCTTGTTTTCATTGGAAGATATTTCCTTTTTCACCATAGTTCAGAAAGCGCTCCAAATGTCCACTTCCAGATACTCCAAAAAGAGTGTTTCCAACCTGCTCTATGAATGGGAATGTTCCACTCTGTGACTTGAATGGAAATATGGCAAAGTATTTTCTGAGTATGCTGCTGTGTACGTTTTATATTGCATCCCGTTTCCAACGAAATCCTCAAAGCGATCCAAATATCCACTTGCAGATTCCAAAAAAAGAGTGTTTCAAACTGCTCTGTCAGTACAAAGGTTCAACACTGTTAGTTGATTAGATGCATCATAAACAAGTTCCTGAGATAGCTTCTATGTCGTTTTTATGGGAAGATATTTCCTTTTTCACCATAGGCCTGAAAGCGCTCCAAATGTCCACTTCCAGATACTACAAAAAGAGTGTTTCCAACCTGCTCTATGAAACGGAAGGTTCAACTCTGTGACTTGATTGCAAACATCACGAAGGTGTTTCTGAGAATGTTTCTGTCTAGATTTTCTTTGAAGACATTCCCGTTTCCAACGAAATCCTCACAGCTATCCAAATATCCTCTTGCAGATTCTACAAAAAGTGTGGTTCAAAACTGCTGTATCAAAAGAATGGATCAACACTGTTAGTTGAGTACCCACATCACAAACGAGATTCTCAGAATGCTTCTGTCTAGTTTCTATAGGTAGATATTTCCTTTTTCAGCATAGGCCTGAAAGCGCTCCAAATGCCCGCTTCCAGACACTATAAAAAGAGGGTTTCAAACCTACTCTATGAAAGGGAATGTTCAACTCTGAGAGCTGGATGCAAACATCACAAAGAAGTTTCTGAGAATGCTGCTGTCTACTTTTGATATATAATCCCGTTTCCAACGAAATCCTCAAATCTATCCAAATATCCACTTGCAGATTCCAAAAGAAGAGTGTCTCAAAACTGCTCTATCAATAGAAATGTTCAGCACAGTTAGTTGAGTAGATACAGCATAAACATGTTTCTGAGATTACTTCTATCTCGCATTCATGGGAAGATATTTCCTTTTTCCAGATAGGCTACAAAGCCCTCCAAATGTCCACTTCCAGATACTACAAATAGAGTGCTGCACAACTGCTCTATGTGAGGGGAAGTTCAATTCTGTGACTTGAATGCAGACACCACAAAGAAGTTTCTGAGAATGCTGCTGTCTAATTTTTATATGTAAGCCCGTTTCCAACGAAATCCTCAAAGCTATCCAAATATCCGCATGCAGAATCTTCAAAAAGAGTGTTCCAGAAGTACTGCATGAAACGAAAGGTTCAAGTCCGTTAGTTGAGGACACACATCACAAATAAGTTTCTCAGAATGCTTCTGTCTTGTTTTCATTGGAAGATATTTCCTTTTTCACCATAGTTCAGAAAGCGCTCCAAATGTCCACTTCCAGATACTCCAAAAAGAGTGTTTCCAACCTGCTCTATGAATGGGAATGTTCCACTCTGTGACTTGAATGGAAATATGGCAAAGTATTTTCTGAGTATGCTGCTGTGTACGTTTTATATTGCATCCCGTTTCCAACGAAATCCTCAAAGCGATCCAAATATCCACTTGCAGATTCCAAAAAAAGAGTGTTTCAAACTGCTCTGTCAGTACAAAGGTTCAACACTGTTAGTTGATTAGATGCATCATAAACAAGTTCCTGAGATAGCTTCTATCTCGCATTCATGGGAAGATATTTCCTTTTTCCACATAGGCTACAAAGCCCTCCAAATGTCCACTTCCAGATACTACAAAAAGAGTGTTTCCAACCTGCTCTATGAAACGGAAGGTTCAACTCTGTGACTTGATTGCAAACATCACGAAGGTGTTTCTGAGAATGCTTCTGTCTAGATTTTCTTTGAAGACATTACCGTTTCCAACGAAATCCTCAAAGCTAGCCAAATATCCACCTGCAGATTCTACAAAAAGAGTGTTTCAAAAGTGCTCTGTCCAAACCAAGGTTCAATTCTGACAGTTGAGTGCACACATCACAAACGTGATTCTGCGAATGCTTCTGTCTAGTTTTTGTCGGAAGATATTTCCTTTTTCAGCATAGGCCCCAAGGAGCTCAAAATGTCCACTGCCAGATAGTACGAGAAGATTGTTTCAAACCTGCTCTGTGAAAGGGAATGTTCAACTCTGTGACTTGAATGTAAACATCCCTAAGATGTTTCTTAGAATGCTTCTGGCTAGATTTTATTTGAAGATATTCCCGTTTCCAACGAAATCCTCAAAGCTTTCCAAATATCCACTTCCAGATTCTACAAAAAGAATGTTTCAGAACAGTTCTGTCAAAAGAAAGGTTCAACTCTGTTAGTGGAGAACACACATCACAATCAAGGTTCTGAGAATGCTTCTGTCTAAATTTTCTATGAAGACATTCCCGTTTCCAACGAAATCCTCACAGCTATCCAAATATCCACTTGCAGATTCTACAAAAAGTGTGGTTCAAAACTGCTGTATCAAAAGAATGGATCAACACTGTTAGTTGAGTACCCACATCACAAACGTGATTCTCAGAATGCTTCTGTCTAGTTTCTATAGGTAGATATTTCCTTTTTCAGCATAGGCCCGAAAGCGCTCCAAATGCCCGCTTCCAGACACTATAAAAAGAGGGTTTCAAACCTACTCTATGAAAGGGAATGTTCAACTCTGAGAGCTGGATGCAAACATCACAAAGAAGTTTCTGAGAATGCTGCTGTCTACTTTTTATATATAATCCCGTTTCCAATGAAATCCTCAAATCTATCCAAATATCCACTAGCAGATTCCAAAAGAAGAGTGTCTCAAAACTGCTCTATCAATAGAAATGTTCAGCACAGTTAGTTGAGTAGATACAGCATAAACATGTTTCTGAGATTACTTCTATCTCGCATTCATGGGAAGATATTTCCTTTTTCCAGATAGGCTACAAAGCCCTCCAAATGTCCACTTCCAGATACTACAAATAGAGTGCTGCACAACTGCTCTATGTGAGGGGAAGTTCAATTCTGTGACTTGAATGCAGACACCACAAAGAAGTTTCTGAGAATGCTGCTGTCTAATTTTTATATGTAAGCCCGTTTCCAACGAAATCCTCAAAGCTATCCAAATATCCGCATGCAGAATCTTCAAAAAGAGTGTTCCAGAAGTACTGCATGAAACGAAAGGTTCAAGTCCGTTAGTTGAGGACACACATCACAAATAAGTTTCTCAGAATGCTTCTGTCTTGTTTTCATTGGAAGATATTTCCTTTTTCACCATAGTTCAGAAAGCGCTCCAAATGTCCACTTCCAGATACTCCAAAAAGAGTGTTTCAAACCTGCTCTATGAATGGGAATGTTCCACTCTGTGACTTGAATGGAAATATGGCAAAGTATTTTCTGAGTATGCTGCTGTGTACGTTTTATATTGCATCCCGTTTCCAACGAAATCCTCAAAGCGATCCAAATATCCACTTGCAGATTCCAAAAAAAGAGTGTTTCAAACTGCTCTGTCAGTACAAAGGTTCAACACTGTTAGTTGATTAGATGCATCATAAACAAGTTCCTGAGATAGCTTCTATCTCGCATTCATGGGAAGATATTTCCTTTTTCCAGATAGGCTACAAAGCCCTCCAAATGTCCACTTCCAGATACTACAAAAAGAGTGTTTCCAACCTGCTCTATGAAACGGAAGGTTCAACTCTGTGACTTGATTGCAAACATCACGAAGGTGTTTCTGAGAATGCTTCTGTCTAGATTTTCTTTGAAGACATTACCGTTTCCAACGAAATCCTCAAAGCTAGCCAAATATCCACCTGCAGATTCTACAAAAAGAGTGTTTCAAAAGTGCTCTGTCCAAACCAAGGTTCAATTCTGACAGTTGAGTGCACACATCACAAACGTGATTCTGCGAATGCTTCTGTCTAGTTTTTGTCGGAAGATATTTCCTTTTTCAGCATAGGCCCCAAGGAGCTCAAAATGTCCACTGCCAGATAGTACGAGAAGATTGTTTCAAACCTGCTCTGTGAAAGGGAATGTTCAACTCTGTGACTTGAATGTAAACATCCCTAAGATGTTTCTTAGAATGCTTCTGGCTAGATTTGATTTGAAGATATTCCCGTTTCCAACGAAATCCTCAAAGCTTTCCAAATATGCACTTCCAGATTCTATAAAAAGAATGTTTCAGAACAGTTCTGTCAAAAGAAAGGTTCAACTCTGTTAGTGGAGAACACACATCACAATCAAGGTTCTGAGAATGCTTCTGTCTAGATTTTCTTTGAAGACATTCCCGTTTCCAACGAAATCCTCACAGCTATCCAAATATCCTCTTGCAGATTCTACAAAAAGTGTGGTTCAAAACTGCTGTATCAAAAGAATGGATCAACACTGTTAGTTGAGTACCCACAACACAAACGAGATTCTCAGAATGCTTCTGTCTAGTTTCTGTAGGTAGATATTTCCTTTTTCAGCATAGGCCTGAAAGCGCTCCAAATGCCCGCTTCCAGACACTATAAAAAGGGGGTTTCAAACCTACTCTATGAAACGGAATGTTCAACTCTGAGACCTGGATGCAAACATCACAAAGAAGTTTCTGAGAATGCTGCTGTCTACTTTTTATATATAATCCCGTTTCCAACGAAATCCTCAAATCTATCCAAATATCCACTTGCAGATTCCAAAAGAAGAGTGTCTCAAAACTGCTCTATCAATAGAAATGTTCAGCACAGTTAGTTGAGTAGATACAGCATAAACATGTTTCTGAGATTACTTCTATCTCGCATTCATGGGAAGATATTTCCTTTTTCCAGATAGGCTACAAAGCCCTCCAAATATCCACTTCGAGATACTACAGATAGAGTGCTGCACAACTGCTCTATGTGAGGGGATTTTCAATTCTGTGACTTGAATGCAGACACCACAAAGAAGTTTCTGAGAATGCTGCTGTCTAATTTTTATATGTAAGCCCGTTTCCAACGAAATCCTCAAAGCTATCCAAATATCCACATGCAGAATCTTCAAAAAGAGTGTTCCAGAGGTACTGCATGAAACGAAAGGTTCAAGTCCGTTAGTTGAGGACACATATCGCAAATAAGTTTCTCAGAATGCTTCTGTCTTGTTTTCATTGGAAGATATTTCCTTTTTCACCATAGTTCAGAAAGCGCTCCAAATGTCCACTTCCAGATACTCCAAAAAGAGTGTTTCAAACCTGCTTTATGAATGGGAATGTTCCACTCTGTGACTTGAATGGAAATATGGCAAAGTATTTTCTGAGTATGCTGCTGTGTACGTTTTATATTGCATCCCGTTTCCAACGAAATCCTCAAAGCGCTCCAAATATCCACTTGCAGATTCCAAAAAATGAGTGTTTCAAACTGCTCTGTCAGTACAAAGGTTCAACACTGTTAGTTGATTAGATGCATCATAAACAAGTTCCTGAGATAGCTTCTATGTCGTTTTTATGGGAAGATATTTCCTTTTTCACCATAGGCCTGAAAGCGCTCCAAATGTCCACTTCCAGATACTACAATAAGAGTGTTTCCAACCTGCTCTATGAAACGGAAGGTTCAACTCTGTGACTTGATTGCAAACATCACGAAGGTGTTTCTGAGAATGCTTCTGTCTAGATTTTCTTTGAAGACATTACCGTTTCCAACGAAATCCTCAAAGCTAGCCAAATATCCACCTGCAGATTCTACAAAAAGTGTGTTTCAAAAGTGCTCTCTCCAAACCAAGGTTCAATTCTGACAGTTGAGTGCACACATCACAAACGTGATTCTGCGAATGCTTCTGTCTAGTTTTTGTCGGAAGATATTTCCTTTTTCAGCATAGGCCCCAAGGAGCTCAAAATGTCCACTTCCAGATAGTACGAGAAGATTGTTTCAAACCTGCTCTGTGAAAGGGAATGTTCAACTCTGTGACTTGAATGTAAACATCCCTAAGATGTTTCTTAGAATGCTTCTGGCTAGATTTGATTTGAAGATATTCCCGTTTCCAACGAAATCCTCAAAGCTTTCCAAATATCCACTTCCAGATTCTATAAAAAGAATGTTTCAGAACAGTTCTGTCAAAAGAAAGGTTCAACTCTGTTAGTGGAGAACACACATCACAATCAAGGTTCTGAGAATGCTTCTGTCTAGATTTTCTTTGAAGACATTCCCGTTTCCAACGAAATCCTCACAGCTATCCAAATATCCTCTTGCAGATTCTACAAAAAGTGTGGTTCAAAACTGCTGTATCAAAAGAATGGATCAACACTGTTAGTTGAGTACCCACATCACAAACGTGATTCTCAGAATGCTTCTGTCTAGTTTCTATAGGTAGATATTTCCTTTTTCAGCATAGGCCTGAAAGCGCTCCAAATGCCCGCTTCCAGACACTATAAAAAGAGGGTTTCAAACCTACTCTATGAAAGGGAATGTTCAACTCTGAGAGCTGGATGCAAACATCACAAAGAAGTTTCTGAGAATGCTGCTGTCTACTTTTTATATATAATCCCGTTTCCAACGAAATCCTCAAATCTATCCAAATATCCACTTGCAGATTCCAAAAGAAGAGTGTCTCAAAACTGCTCTATCAATAGAAATGTTCAGCACAGTTAGTTGAGTAGATACAGCATAAACATGTTTCTGAGATTACTTCTATCTCGCATTCATGGGAAGATATTTCCTTTTTCCAGATAGGCTACAAAGCCCTCCAAATGTCCACTTCCAGATACTACAAATAGAGTGCTGCACAACTGCTCTATGTGAGGGGAAGTTCAATTCTGTGACTTGAATGCAGACACCACAAAGAAGTTTCTGAGAATGCTGCTGTCTAATTTTTACATGTAAGCCCGTTTCCAACGAAATCCTCAAAGCTATCCAAATATCCGCATGCAGAATCTTCAAAAAGAGTGTTCCAGAAGTACTGCATGAAACGAAAGGTTCAAGTCCGTTTGTTGAGGACACACATCACAAATAAGTTTCTCAGAATGCTTCTGTCTTGTTTTCATTGGAAGATATTTCCTTTTTCACCATAGTTCAGAAAGCGCTCCAAATGTCCACTTCCAGATACTCCAAAAAGAGTGTTTCCAACCTGCTCTATGAATGGGAATGTTCCACTCTGTGACTTGAATGGAAATATGGCAAAGAATTTTCTGAGTATGCTGCTGTGTACGTTTTATATTGCATCCCGTTTCCAACGAAATCCTCAAAGCGATCCAAATATCCACTTGCAGATTCCAAAAAAAGAGTGTTTCAAACTGCTCTGTCAGTACAAAGGTTCAACACTGTTAGTTGATTAGATGCATCATAAACAAGTTCCTGAGATAGCTTCTATGTCGTTTTTATGGGAAGATATTTCCTTTTTCACCATAGGCCTGAAAGCGCTCCAAATGTCCACTTCCAGATACTACAATAAGAGTGTTTCCAACCTGCTCTATGAAACGGAAGGTTCAACTCTGTGACTTGATTGCAAACATCACGAAGGTGTTTCTGAGAATGCTTCTGTCTAGATTTTCTTTGAAGACATTACCGTTTCCAACGAAATCCTCAAAGCTAGCCAAATATCCACCTGCAGATCCTACAAAAAGAGTGTTTCAAAAGTGCTCTGTCCAAACAAAGGTTCAATTCTGACAGTTGAGTGCACACATCACAAACGTGATTCTGCGAATGCTTCTGTCTAGTTTTTGTCGGAAGATATTTCCTTTTTCAGCATAGGCCCCAAGGAGCTCAAAATGTCCACTGCCAGATAGTACGAGAAGATTGTTTCAAACCTGCTCTGTGAAAGGGAATGTTCAACTCTGTGACTTGAATGTAAACATCCCTAAGATGTTTCTTAGAATGCTTCTGGCTAGATTTGATTTGAAGATATTCCCGTTTCCAACGAAATCCTCAAAGCTTTCCAAATATCCACTTCCAGATTCTATAAAAAGAATGTTTCAGAACAGTTCTGTCAAAAGAAAGGTTCAACTCTGTTAGTGGAGAACACACATCACAATCAAGGTTCTGAGAATGCTTCTGTCTAAATTTTCTATGAAGACATTCCCGTTTCCAACGAAATCCTCACAGCTATCCAAATATCCACTTGCAGATTCTACAAAAAGTGTGGTTCAAAACTGCTGTATCAAAAGAATGGATCAACACTGTTAGTTGAGTACCCACATCACAAACGTGATTCTCAGAATGCTTCTGTCTAGTTTCTATAGGTAGATATTTCCTTTTTCAGCATAGGCCTGAAAGCGCTCCAAATGCCCGCTTCCAGACACTATAAAAAGAGGGTTTCAAACCTACTCTATGAAAGGGAATGTTCAACTCTGAGAGCTGGATGCAAACATCACAAAGAAGTTTCTGAGAATGCTGCTGTCTGCTTTTGATATATAATCCCGTTTCCAACGAAATCCTCAAATCTATCCAAATATCCACTTGCAGATTCCAAAAGAAGAGTGTCTCAAAACTGCTCTATCAATAGAAATGTTCAGCACAGTTAGTTGAGTAGATACAGCATAAACATGTTTCTGAGATTACTTCTATCTCGCATTCATGGGAAGATATTTCCTTTTTCCAGATAGGCTACAAAGCCCTCCAAATGTGCACTTCGAGATACTACAAATAGAGTGCTGCACAACTGCTCTATGTGAGGGGAAGTTCAATTCTGTGACTTGAATGCAGACACCACAAAGAAGTTTCTGAGAATGCTGCTGTCTAATTTTTATATGTAAGCCCGTTTCCAACGAAATCCTCAAAGCTATCCAAATATCCGCATGCAGAATCTTCAAAAAGAGTGTTCCAGAAGTACTGCATGAAACGAAAGGTTCAAGTCCGTTAGTTGAGGACACACATCACAAATAAGTTTCTCAGAATGCTTCTGTCTTCTTTTCATTGGAAGATATTTCCTTTTTCACCATAGTTCAGAAAGCGCTCCAAATGTCCACTTCCAGATACTACAAAAAGAGTGTTTCAAACCTGCTCTATGAATGGGAATGTTCCACTCTGTGACTTGAATTGAAATATGGCAAAGCATTTTCTGAGTATGCTGCTGTGTACGTTTTATATTGCATCCCGTTTCCAACGAAATCCTCAAAGCGATCCAAATATCCACTTGCAGATTCCAAAAAAAGAGTGTTTCAAACTGCTCTGTCAGTACAAAGGTTCAACACTTTTAGTTTGATTAGATGCATCATAAACAAGTTCCTGAGATAGCTTCTATCTCGCATTCATGGGAAGATATTTCCTTTTTCCAGATAGGCTACAAAGCCCTCCAAATGTCCACTTCCAGATACTACAAAAAGATTGTTTCCAACCTGCTCTATGAAACGGAAGGTTCAACTCTGTGACTTGATTGCAAACATCACGAAGGTGTTTCTGAGAATGCTTCTGTCTAGATTTTCTTTGAAGACATTACCGTTTCCAACGAAATCCTCAAAGCTAGCCAAATATCCACCTGCAGATTCTACAAAAAGAGTGTTTCAAAAGTGCTCTGTCCAAACCAAGGTTCAATTCTGACAGTTGAGTGCACACATCACAAACGTGATTCTGCGAATGCTTCTGTCTAGTTTTTGTCGGAAGATATTTCCTTTTTCAGCATAGGCCCCAAGGAGCTCAAAATGTCCACTGCCAGATAGTACGAGAAGATTGTTTCAAACCTGCTCTGTGAAAGGGAATGTTCAACTCTGTGACTTGAATGTAAACATCCCTAAGATGTTTCTTAGAATGCTTCTGGCTAGATTTTATTTGAAGATATTCCCGTTTCCAACGAAATCCTCAAAGCTTTCCAAATATCCACTTCCAGATTCTATAAAAAGAATGTTTCAGAACAGTTCTGTCAAAAGAAAGGTTCAACTCTGTTAGTGGAGAACACACATCACAATCAAGGTTCTGAGAATGCTTCTGTCTAAATTTTCTATGAAGACATTCCCGTTTCCAACGAAATCCTCACAGCTATCCAAATATCCACTTGCAGATTCTACAAAAAGTGTGGTTCAAAACTGCTGTATCAAAAGAATGGATCAACACTGTTAGTTGAGTACCCACATCACAAACGTGATTCTCAGAATGCTTCTGACTAGTTTCTGTAGGTAGATATTTCCTTTTTCAGCATAGGCGTGAAAGCGCTCCAAATGCCCGCTTCCAGACACTATAAAAAGAGGGTTTCAAACCTACTCTATGAAAGGGAATGTTCAACTCTGAGAGCTGGATGCAAACATCACAAAGAAGTTTCTGAGAATGCTGCTGTCTACTTTTTATATATAATCCCGTTTCCAACGAAATCCTCAAATCTCTCCAAATATCCACTTGCAGATTCCAAAAGAAGAGTGTCTCAAAACTGCTCTATCAATAGAAATGTTCAGCACAGTTAGTTGAGTAGATACAGCATAAACATGTTTCTGAGATTACTTCTATCTCGCATTCATGGGAAGATATTTCCTTTTTCCAGATAGGCTACAAAGCCCTCCAAATGTCCACTTCCAGATACTACAAATAGAGTGCTGCACAACTGCTCTATGTGAGGGGAAGTTCAATTCTGTGACTTGAATGCAGACACCACAAAGAAGTTTCTGAGAATGCTGCTGTCTAATTTTTACATGTAAGCCCGTTTCCAACGAAATCCTCAAAGCTATCCAAATATCCGCATGCAGAATCTTCAAAAAGAGTGTTCCAGAAGTACTGCATGAAACGAAAGGTTCAAGTCCGTTTGTTGAGGACACACATCACAAATAAGTTTCTCAGAATGCTTCTGTCTTGTTTTCATTGGAAGATATTTCCTTTTTCACCATAGTTCAGAAAGCGCTCCAAATGTCCACTTCCAGATACTCCAAAAAGAGTGTTTCAAACCTGCTCTATGAATGGGAATGTTCCACTCTGTGACTTGAATGGAAATATGGCAAAGTATTTTCTGAGTATGCTGCTGTGTACGTTTTATATTGCATCCCGTTTCCAACGAAATCCTCAAAGCGATCCAAATATCCACTTGCAGATTCCAAAAAAAGAGT
Source organism: Homo sapiens (assembly GCF_000001405.40). Taxonomy (NCBI): domain Eukaryota; kingdom Metazoa; phylum Chordata; class Mammalia; order Primates; family Hominidae; genus Homo; species Homo sapiens. The sequence continues at coordinate 45,782,973 of NC_000008.11, read as the reverse complement.
GTTTCAAACTGCTCTGTCAGTACAAAGGTTCAACACTGTTAGTTGATTAGATGCATCATAAACAAGTTCCTGAGATAGCTTCTATCTCGCATTCATGGGAAGATATTTCCTTTTTCCAGATAGGCTACAAAGCCCTCCAAATGTCCACTTCCAGATACTACAAAAAGAGTGTTTCCAACCTGCTCTATGAAACGGAAGGTTCAACTCTGTGACTTGATTGCAAACATCACGAAGGTGTTTCTGAGAATGCTTCTGTCTAGATTTTCTTTGAAGACATTACCGTTTCCAACGAAATCCTCAAAGCTAGCCAAATATCCACCTGCAGATTCTACAAAAAGAGTGTTTCAAAAGTGCTCTGTCCAAACCAAGGTTCAATTCTGACAGTTGAGTGCACACATCACAAACGTGATTCTGCGAATGCTTCTGTCTAGTTTTTGTTGGAAGATATTTCCTTTTTCAGCATAGGCCCCAAGGAGCTCAAAATGTCCACTTCCAGATAGTACGAGAAGATTGTTTCAAACCTGCTCTGTGAAAGGGAATGTTCAACTCTGTGACTTGAATGTAAACATCCCTAAGATGTTTCTTAGCATGCTTCTGGCTAGATTTGATTTGAAGATATTCCCGTTTCCAACGAAATCCTCAAAGCTTTCCCAATATCCACTTCCAGATTCTATAAAAAGAATGTTTCAAAACAGTTCTGTCAAAAGAAAGGTTCAACTCTGTTAGTGGAGAACACACATCACAATCAAGGTTCTGAGAATGCTTCTGTCTAAATTTTCTATGAAGACATTCCCGTTTCCAACGAAATCCTCACAGCTATCCAAATATCCACTTGCAGATTCTACAAAAAGTGTGGTTCAAAACTGCTGTATCAAAAGAATGGATCAACACTGTTAGTTGAGTACCCACATCACAAACGTGATTCTCAGAATGCTTCTGTCTAGTTTCTATAGGTAGATATTTCCTTTTTCAGCATAGGCCTGAAAGCGCTCCAAATGACCACTTCCAGACACTATAAAAAGAGGGTTTCAAACCTACTCTATGAAAGGGAATGTTCAACTCTGAGAGCTGGATGCAAACATCACAAAGAAGTTTCTGAGAATGCTGCTGTCTACTTTTTATATATAATCCCGTTTCCAACGAAATCCTCAAATCTATCCAAATATCCACTTGCAGATTCCAAAAGAAGAGTGTCTCAAAACTGCTCTATCAATAGAAATGTTCAGCACAGTTAGTTGAGTAGATACAGCATAAACATGTTTCTGAGATTACTTCTATCTCGCATTCATGGGAAGATATTTCCTTTTTCCAGATAGGCTACAAAGCCCTCCAAATGTCCACTTCCAGATACTACAAATAGAGTGCTGCACAACTGCTCTATGTGAGGGGAAGTTCAATTCTGTGACTTGAATGCAGACACCACAAAGAAGTTTCTGAGAATGCTGCTGTCTAATTTTTACATGTAAGCCCGTTTCCAACGAAATCCTCAAAGCTATCCAAATATCCGCATGCAGAATCTTCAAAAAGAGTGTTCCAGAAGTACTGCATGAAACGAAAGGTTCAAGTCCGTTTGTTGAGGACACACATCACAAATAAGTTTCTCAGAATGCTTCTGTCTTGTTTTCATTGGAAGATATTTCCTTTTTCACCATAGTTCAGAAAGCGCTCCAAATGTCCACTTCCAGATACTCCAAAAAGAGTGTTTCCAACCTGCTCTATGAATGGGAATGTTCCACTCTGTGACTTGAATGGAAATATGGCAAAGTATTTTCTGAGTATGCTGCTGTGTACGTTTTATATTGCATCCCGTTTCCAACGAAATCCTCAAAGCGATCCAAATATCCACTTGCAGATTCCAAAAAAAGAGTGTTTCAAACTGCTCTGTCAGTACAAAGGTTCAACACTGTTAGTTGATTAGATGCATCATAAACAAGTTCCTGAGATAGCTTCTATCTCGCATTCATGGGAAGATATTTCCTTTTTCCACATAGGCTACAAAGCCCTCCAAATGTCCACTTCCAGATACTACAAAAAGAGTGTTTCCAACCTGCTCTATGAAACGGAAGGTTCAACTCTGTGACTTGATTGCAAACATCACGAAGGTGTTTCTGAGAATGCTTCTGTCTAGATTTTCTTTGAAGACATTACCGTTTCCAACGAAATCCCTAAAGCTAGCCAAATATCCACCTGCAGATTCTACAAAAAGAGTGTTTCAAAAGTGCTCTGTCCAAACCAAGGTTCAATTCTGACAGTTGAGTGCACACATCACAAACGTGATTCTGCGAATGCTTCTGTCTAGTTTTTGTCGGAAGATATTTCCTTTTTCAGCATAGGCCCCAAGGAGCTCAAAATGTCCACTGCCAGATAGTACGAGAAGATTGTTTCAAACCTGCTCTGAGAAAGGGGAATGTTCAACTCTGTGACTTGAATGTACACATCCCTAAGATGTTTCTTAGAATGCTTCTGGCTAGATTTGATTTGAAGATATTCCCGTTTCCAACGAAATCCTCAAAGCTTTCCAAATATCCACTTCCAGATTCTATAAAAAGAATGTTTCAGAACAGTTCTGTCAAAAGAAAGGTTCAACTCTGTTAGTGGAGAACACACATCACAATCAAGGTTCTGAGAATGCTTCTGTCTAAATTTTCTATGAAGACATTCCCGTTTCCAACGAAATCCTCACAGCTATCCAAATATCCACTTGCAGATTCTACAAAAAGTGTGGTTCAAAACTGCTGTATCAAAAGAATGGATCAACACTGTTAGTTGAGTACCCACATCACAAACGTGATTCTCAGAATGCTTCTGTCTAGTTTCTATAGGTAGATATTTCCTTTTTCAGCATAGGCCCGAAAGCGCTCAAAATGCCCGCTTCCAGACACTATAAAAAGAGGGTTTCAAACCTACTCTATGAAAGGGAATGTTCAACTCTGAGAGCTGGATGCAAACATCACAAAGAAGTTTCTGAGAATGCTGCTGTCTACTTTTTATATATAATCCCGTTTCCAACGAAATCCTCAAATCTATCCAAATATCCACTTGCAGATTCCAAAAGAAGAGGGTCTCAAAACTGCTCTATCAATAGAAATGTTCAGCACAGTTAGTTGAGTAGATACAGCAAAAACATGTTTCTGAGATTACTTCTATCTCGCATTCATGGGAAGATATTTCCTTTTTCCAGATAGGCTACAAAGCCCTCCAAATGTCCACTTCCAGATACTACAAATAGAGTGCTGCACAACTGCTCTATGTGAGGGGAAGTTCAATTCTGTGACTTGAATGCAGACACCACAAAGAAGTTTCTGAGAATGCTGCTGTCTAATTTTTACATGTAAGCCCGTTTCCAACGAAATCCTCAAAGCTATCCAAATATCCGCATGCAGAATCTTCAAAAAGAGTGTTCCAGAAGTACTGCATGAAACGAAAGGTTCAAGTCCGTTTGTTGAGGACACACATCACAAATAAGTTTCTCAGAATGCTTCTGTCTTGTTTTCATTGGAAGATATTTCCTTTTTCACCATAGTTCAGAAAGCGCTCCAAATGTCCACTTCCAGATACTCCAAAAAGAGTGTTTCCAACCTGCTCTATGAATGGGAATGTTCCACTCTGTGACTTGAATGGAAATATGGCAAAGTATTTTCTGAGTATGCTGCTGTGTACGTTTTATATTGCATCCCGTTTCCAACGAAATCCTCAAAGCGATCCAAATATCCACTTGCAGATTCCAAAAAAAGAGTGTTTCAAACTGCTCTGTCAGTACAAAGGTTCAACACTGTTAGTTGATTAGATGCATCATAAACAAGTTCCTGAGATAGCTTCTATCTCGCATTCATGGGAAGATATTTCCTTTTTCCAGATAGGCTACAAAGCCCTCCAAATGTCCACTTCCAGATACTACAAAAAGAGTGTTTCCAACCTGCTCTATGAAACGGAAGGTTCAACTCTGTGACTTGATTGCAAACATCACGAAGGTGTTTCTGAGAATGCTTCTGTGTAGATTTTCTTTGAAGACATTACCGTTTCCAACGAAATCCTCAAAGCTAGCCAAATATCCACCTGCAGATTCTACAAAAAGAGTGTTTCAAAAGTGCTCTGTCCAAACCAAGGTTCAATTCTGACAGTTGAGTGCACACATCACAAACGTGATTCTGCGAATGCTTCTGTCTAGTTTTTGTCGGAAGATATTTCCTTTTTCAGCATAGGCCCCAAGGAGCTCAAAATGTCCACTGCCAGATAGTACGAGAAGATTGTTTCAAACCTGCTCTGTGAAAGGGAATGTTCAACTCTGTGACTTGAATGTAAACATCCCTAAGATGTTTCTTAGAATGCTTCTGGCTAGATTTGATTTGAAGATATTCCCGTTTCCAACGAAATCCTCAAAGCTTTCCAAATATCCACTTCCAGATTCTATAAAAAGAATGTTTCAAAACAGTTCTGTCAAAAGAAAGGTTCAACCCTGTTAGTGGAGAACACACATCACAATCAAGGTTCTGAGAATGCTTCTGTCTAAATTTTCTATGAAGACATTCCCGTTTCCAACGAAATCCTCACAGCTATCCAAATATCCACTTGCAGATTCTACAAAAAGTGTGGTTCAAAACTGCTGTATCAAAAGAATGGATCAACACTGTTAGTTGAGTACCCACATCACAAACGTGATTCTCAGAATGCTTCTGTCTAGTTTCTGTAGGTAGATATTTCCTATTTTAAGCATAGGCCTGAAAGCGCTCCAAATGCCCGCTTCCAGACACTATAAAAAGAGGGTTTCAAACCTACTCTATGAAAGGGAATGTTCAACTCTGAGAGCTGGATGCAAACATCACAAAGAAGTTTCTGAGAATGCTGCTGTCTACTTTTTATATATAATCCCGTTTCCAACGAAATCCTCAAATCTATCCAAATATCCACTTGCAGATTCCAAAAGAAGAGTGTCTCAAAACTGCTCTATCAATAGAAATGTTCAGCACAGTTAGTTGAGTAGATACAGCATAAACGTGTTTCTGAGATTACTTCTATCTCGCATTCATGGGAAGATATTTCCTTTTTCCAGATAGGCTACAAAGCCCTCCAAATGTCCACTTCCAGATACTACAAATAGAGTGCTGCACAACTGCTCTATGTGAGGGGATGTTCAATTCTGTGACTTGAATGCAGACACCACAAAGAAGTTTCTGAGAATGCTGCTGTCTAATTTTTACATGTAAGCCCGTTTCCAACGAAATCCTCAAAGCTATCCAAATATCCGCATGCAGAATCTTCAAAAAGAGTGTTCCAGAAGTACTGCATGAAACGAAAGGTTCAAGTCCGTTTGTTGAGGACACACATCACAAATAAGTTTCTCAGAATGCTTCTGTCTTGTTTTCATTGGAAGATATTTCCTTTTTCACCATAGTTCAGAAAGCGCTCCAAATGTCCACTTCCAGATACTCCAAAAAGAGTGTTTCCAACCTGCTCTATGAATGGGAATGTTCCACTCTGTGACTTGAATGGAAATATGGCAAAGTATTTTCTGAGTATGCTGCTGTGTACGTTTTATATTGCATCCCGTTTCCAACTAAATCCTCAAAGCGATCCAAATATCAACTTGCAGATTCCAAAAAAAAGAGTGTTTCACACTGCTCTGTCAGTACAAAGGTTCAACACTGTTAGTTGATTGGATGCATCATAAACAAGTTCCTGAGATAGCTTCTATGTCGTTTTTATGGGAAGATATTTCCTTTTTCACCATAGGCCTGAAAGCGCTCCAAATGTCCACTTCCAGATACTACAATAAGAGTGTTTCCAACCTGCTCTATGAAACGGAAGGTTCAACTCTGTGACTTGATTGCAAACATCACGAAGGTGTTTCTGAGAATGCTTCTGTCTAGATTTTCTTTGAAGACATTACCGTTTCCAACGAAATCCTCAAAGCTAGCCAAATATCCACCTGCAGATTCTACAAAAAGAGTGTTTCAAAAGTGCTCTGTCCAAACCAAGGTTCAATTCTGACAGTTGAGTGCACACATCACAAACGTGATTCTGCGAATGCTTCTGTCTAGTTTTTGTCGGAAGATATTTCCTTTTTCAGCATAGGCCCCAAGGAGCTCAAAATGTCCACTGCCAGATAGTACGAGAAGATTGTTTCAAACCTGCTCTGTGAAAGGGAATGTTCAACTCTGTGACTTGAATGTAAACATCCCTAAGATGTTTCTTAGAATGCTTCTGGCTAGATTTGATTTGAAGATATTCCCGTTTCCAACGAAATCCTCAAAGCTTTCCAAATATCCACTTCCAGATTCTATAAAAAGAATGTTTCAGAACAGTTCTGTCAAAAGAAAGGTTCAACTCTGTTAGTGGAGAACACACATCACAATCAAGGTTCTGAGAATGCTTCTGTCTAGATTTTCTTTGAAGACATTCCCGTTTCCAACGAAATCCTCACAGCTATCCAAATATCCACTTGCAGATTCTACAAAAAGTGTGGTTCAAAACTGCTGTATCAAAAGAATGGATCAACACTGTTAGTTGAGTACCCACATCACAAACGTGATTCTCAGAATGCTTCTGTCTAGTTTCTGTAGGTAGATATTTCCTATTTTAAGCATAGGCCTGAAAGCGCTCCAAATGCCCGCTTCCAGACACTATAAAAAGAGGGTTTCAAACCTACTCTATGAAAGGGAATGTTCAACTCTGAGAGCTGGATGCAAACATCACAAAGAAGTTTCTGAGAATGCTGCTGTCTACTTTTTATATATAATCCCGTTTCCAACGAAATCCTCAAATCTATCCAAATATCCACTTGCAGATTCCAAAAGAAGAGTGTCTGAAAACTGCTCTATCAATAGAAATGTTCAGCACAGTTAGTTGAGTAGATACAGCATAAACATGTTTCTGAGATTACTTCTATCTCGCATTCATGGGAAGATATTTCCTTTTTCCAGATAGGCTACAAAGCCCTCCAAATGTCCACTTCCAGATACTACAAATAGAGTGCTGCACAACTGCTCTATGTGAGGGGATGTTCAATTCTGTGACTTGAATGCAGACACCACAAAGAAGTTTCTGAGAATGCTGCTGTCTAATTTTTATATGTAAGCCCGTTTCCAACGAAATCCTCAAAGCTAACCAAATATCCGCATGCAGAATCTTCAAAAAGAGTGTTCCAGAAGTACTGCATGAAACGAAAGGTTCGAGTCCGTTAGTTGAGGACACGCATCACAAATAAGTTTCTCAGAATGCTTCTGTCTTGTTTTCATTGGAAGATATTTCCTTTTTCACCATAGTTCAGAAAGCGCTCCAAATGTCCACTTCCAGATACTCCAAAAAGAGTGTTTCAAACCTGCTCTATGAATGGGAATGTTCCACTCTGTGACTTGAATGGAAATATGGCAAAGTATTTTCTGAGTATGCTGCTGTGTACGTTTTATATTGCATCCCGTTTCCAACGAAATCCTCAAAGCGATCCAAATATCCACTTGCAGATTCCAAAAAAAGAGTGTTTCAAACTGCTCTGTCAGTACAAAGGTTCAACACTGTTAGTTGATTAGATGCATCATAAACAAGTTCCTGAGATAGCTTCTATGTCGTTTTTATGGGAAGCTATTTCCTTTTTCACCATAGGCCTGAAAGCGCTCCAGATGTCCACTTCCAGATACTACAAAAAGTGTGTTTCCAACCTGCTCTATGAAACGGAAGGTTCAACTCTGTGACTTGATTGCAAACATCACGAAGGTGTTTCTGAGGATGTTTCTGTCTAGATTTTCTTTGAAGACATTACCGTTTCCAACGAAATCCTCAAAGCTAGCCAAATATCCACCTGCAGATTCTACAAAAAGAGTGTTTCAAAAGTGCTCTGTCCAAACCAAGGTTCAATTCTGACAGTTGAGTGCACACATCACAAACGTGATTCTGCGAATGCTTCTGTCTAGTTTTTGTCGGAAGATATTTCCTTTTTCAGCATAGGCCCCAAGGAGCTCAAAATGTCCACTGCCAGATAGTACGAGAAGATTGTTTCAAACCTGCTCTGTGAAAGGGAATGTTCAACTCTGTGACTTGAATGTAAACATCCCTAAGATGTTTCTTAGAATGCTTCTGGCTAGATTTGATTTGAAGATATTCCCGTTTCCAACGAAATCCTCAAAGCTTTCCAAATATCCACTTCCAGATTCTATAAAAAGAATGTTTCAGAACAGTTCTGTCAAAAGAAAGGTTCAACTCTGTTAGTGGAGAACACACATCACAATCAAGGTTCTGAGAATGCTTCTGTCTAGATTTTCTTTGAAGACATTCCCGTTTCCAACGAAATCCTCACAGCTATCCAAATATCCTCTTGCAGATTCTACAAAAAGTGTGGTTCAAAACTGCTGTATCAAAAGAATGGATCAACACTGTTAGTTGAGTACCCACATCACAAACGTGATTCTCAGAATGCTTCTGTCTAGTTTCTATAGGTAGATATTTCCTTTTTCAGCATAGGCCTGAAAGCGCTCCAAATGCCCGCTTCCAGACACTATAAAAAGAGGGTTTCAAACCTACTCTATGAAAGGGAATGTTCAACTCTGAGAGCTGGATGCAAACATCACAAAGAAGTTTCTGAGAATGCTGCTGTCTACTTTTTATATATAATCCCGTTTCCAACGAAATCCTCAAATCTATCCAAATATCCACTTGCAGATTCCAAAAGAAGAGGGTCTCAAAACTGCTCTATCAATAGAAATGTTCAGCACAGTTAGTTGAGTAGATACAGCATAAACATGTTTCTGAGATTACTTCTATCTCGCATTCATGGGAAGATATTTCCTTTTTCCAGATAGGCTACAAAGCCCTCCAAATGTCCACTTCCAGATACTACAAATAGAGTGCTGCACAACTGCTCTATGTGAGGGGAAGTTCAATTCTGTGACTTGAATGCAGACACCACAAAGAAGTTTCTGAGAATGCTGCTGTCTAATTTTTATATGTAAGCCCGTTTCCAACGAAATCCTCAAAGCTAACCAAATATCCGCATGCAGAATCTTCAAAAAGAGTGTTCCAGAAGTACTGCATGAAACGAAAGGTTCGAGTCCGTTAGTTGAGGACACGCATCACAAATAAGTTTCTCAGAATGCTTCTGTCTTGTTTTCATTGGAAGATATTTCCTTTTTCACCATAGTTCTGAAAGCGCTCCAAATGTCCACTTCCAGACACTCCAAAAAAAGTGTTTCAAACCTGCTCCTATGAATGGGAATGTTCCACTCCTGTGACTTGAATGGAAATATGGCAAAGTATTTTCTGAGTATGCTGCTGTGTACGTTTTATATTGCATCCCGTTTCCAACGAAATCCTCAAAGTGATCCAAATATCCACTTGCAGATTCCAAAAAAAGAGTGTTTCAAACTGCTCTGTCAGTACAAAGGTTCAACACTGTTAGTTGATTAGATGCATCATAAACAAGTTCCTGAGATAGCTTCTATGTCGTTTTTATGGGAAGATATTTCCTTTTTCACCATAGGCCTGAAAGCGCTCCAAATGTCCACTTCCAGATACTACAATAAGAGTGTTTCCAACCTGCTCTATGAAACGGAAGGTTCAACTCTGTGACTTGATTGCAAACATCACGAAGGTGTTTCTGAGAATGCTTCTGTCTAGATTTTCTTTGAAGACATTACCGTTTCCAACGAAATCCTCAAAGCTAGCCAAATATCCACCTGCAGATTCTACAAAAAGAGTGTTTCAAAAGTGCTCTGTCCAAACCAAGGTTCAATTCTGACAGTTGAGTGCACACATCACAAACGTGATTCTGCGAATGCTTCTGTCTAGTTTTTGTCGGAAGATATTTCCTTTTTCAGCATAGGCCCCAAGGAGCTCAAAATGTCCACTGCCAGATAGTACGAGAAGATTGTTTCAAACCTGCTCTGTGAAAGGGAATGTTCAACTCTGTGACTTGAATGTAAACATCCCTAAGATGTTTCTTAGAATGCTTCTGGCTAGATTTGATTTGAAGATATTCCCGTTTCCAACGAAATCCTCAAAGCTTTCCAAATATCCACTTCCAGATTCTATAAAAAGAATGTTTCAGAACAGTTCTGTCAAAAGAAAGGTTCAACTCTGTTAGTGGAGAACACACATCACAATCAAGGTTCTGAGAATGCTTCTGTCTAAATTTTCTATGAAGACATTCCCGTTTCCAACGAAATCCTCACAGCTATCCAAATATCCACTTGCAGATTCTACAAAAAGTGTGGTTCAAAACTGCTGTATCAAAAGAATGGATCAACACTGTTAGTTGAGTACCCACATCACAAACGTGATTCTCAGAATGCTTCTGTCTAGTTTCTATAGGTAGATATTTCCTTTTTCAGCATAGGCCTGAAAGCGCTCCAAATGCCCGCTTCCAGACACTATAAAAAGAGGGTTTCAAACCTACTCTATGAAAGGGAATGTTCAACTCTGAGAGCTGGATGCAAACATCACAAAGAAGTTTCTGAGAATGCTGCTGTCTACTTTTGATATATAATCCCGTTTCCAACGAAATCCTCAAATCTATCCAAATATCCACTTGCAGATTCCAAAAGAAGAGTGTCTCAAAACTGCTCTATCAATAGAAATGTTCAGCACAGTTAGTTGAGTAGATACAGCATAAACATGTTTCTGAGATTACTTCTATCTCGCATTCATGGGAAGATATTTCCTTTTTCCAGATAGGCTACAAAGCCCTCCAAATGTCCACTTCCAGATACTACAAATAGAGTGCTGCACAACTGCTCTATGTGAGGGGAAGTTCAATTCTGTGACTTGAATGCAGACACCACAAAGAAGTTTCTGAGAATGCTGCTGTCTAATTTTTACATGTAAGCCCGTTTCCAACGAAATCCTCAAAGCTATCCAAATATCCGCATGCAGAATCTTCAAAAAGAGTGTTCCAGAAGTACTGCATGAAACGAAAGGTTCAAGTCCGTTTGTTGAGGACACACATCACAAATAAGTTTCTCAGAATGCTTCTGTCTTGTTTTCATTGGAAGATATTTCCTTTTTCACCATAGTTCAGAAAGCGCTCCAAATGTCCACTTCCAGATACTCCAAAAAGAGTGTTTCCAACCTGCTCTATGAATGGGAATGTTCCACTCTGTGACTTGAATGGAAATATGGCAAAGTATTTTCTGAGTATGCTGCTGTGTACGTTTTATATTGCATCCCGTTTCCAACGAAATCCTCAAAGCGATCCTAATATCCACTTGCAGATTCCAAAAAAAAGAGTGTTTCACACTGCTCTGTCAGTACAAATGTTCAACACTGTTAGTTGATTGGATGCATCATAAACAAGTTCCTGAGATAGCTTCTATATCGTTTTTATGGGAAGATATTTCCTTTTTCACCATAGGCCTGAAAGCGCTCCAAATGTCCACTTCCAGATACTACAATAAGAGTGTTTCCAACCTGCTCTATGAAACGGAAGGTTCAACTCTGTGACTTGATTGCAAACATCACGAAGGTATTTCTGAGAATGCTTCTGTCTAGATTTTCTTTGAAGACATTACCGTTTCCAACGAAATCCTCAAAGCTAGCCAAATATCCACCTGCAGATTCTACAAAAAGAGTGTTTCAAAAGTGCTCTCTCCAAACCAAGGTTCAATTCTGACAGTTGAGTGCACACATCACAAACGTGATTCTGCGAATGCTTCTGTCTAGTTTTTGTCGGAAGATATTTCCTTTTTCAGCATAGGCCCCAAGGAGCTCAAAATGTCCACTGCCAGATAGTACGAGAAGATTGTTTCAAACCTGCTCTGTGAAAGGGAATGTTCAACTCTGTGACTTGAATGTAAACATCCCTAAGATGTTTCTTAGAATGCTTCTGGCTAGATTTTATTTGAAGATATTCCCGTTTCCAACGAAATCCTCAAAGCTTTCCAAATATCCACTTCCAGATTCTATAAAAAGAATGTTTCAGAACAGTTCTGTCAAAAGAAAGGTTCAACTCTGTTAGTGGAGAACACACATCACAATCAAGGTTCTGAGAATGCTTCTGTCTAAATTTTCTATGAAGACATTCCCGTTTCCAACGAAATCCTCACAGCTATCCAAATATCCACTTGCAGATTCTACAAAAAGTGTGGTTCAAAACTGCTGTATCAAAAGAATGGATCAACACTGTTAGTTGAGTACCCACATCACAAACGTGATTCTCAGAATGCTTCTGTCTAGTTTCTATAGGTAGATATTTCCTTTTTCAGCATAGGCCTGAAAGCGCTCCAAATGCCCGCTTCCAGACACTATAAAAAGAGGGTTTCAAACCTACTCTATGAAAGGGAATGTTCAACTCTGAGAGCTGGATGCAAACATCACAAAGAAGTTTCTGAGAATGCTGCTGTCTACTTTTTATATATAATCCCGTTTCCAACGAAATCCTCAAATCTATCCAAATATCCACTTGCAGATTCCAAAAGAAGAGTGTCTCAAAACTGCTCTATCAATAGAAATGTTCAGCACAGTTAGTTGAGTAGATACAGCATAAACATGTTTCTGAGATTACTTCTATCTCGCATTCATGGGAAGATATTTCCTTTTTCCAGATAGGCTACAAAGCCCTCCAAATGTCCACTTCCAGATACTACAAATAGAGTGCTGCACAACTGCTCTATGTGAGGGGAAGTTCAATTCTGTGACTTGAATGCAGACACCACAAAGAAGTTTACTGAGAATGCTGCTGTCTAATTTTTATATGTAAGCCCGTTTCCAACGAAATCCTCAAAGCTATCCAAATATCCGCATGCAGAATCTTCAAAAAGAGTGTTCCAGAAGTACTGCATGAAACGAAAGGTTCAAGTCCGTTAGTTGAGGACACACATCACAAATAAGTTTCTCAGAATGCTTCTGTCTTGTTTTCATTGGAAGATATTTCCTTTTTCACCATAGTTCAGAAAGCGCTCCAAATGTCCACTTCCAGATACTCCAAAAAGAGTGTTTCCAACCTGCTCTATGAATGGGAATGTTCCACTCTGTGACTTGAATGGAAATATGGCAAAGTATTTTCTGAGTATGCTGCTGTGTAAGTTTTATATTGCATCCTGTTTCCAACGAAATCCTCAAAGTGATACAAATATCCACTTGCAGATTCCAAAAAAAGAGTGTTTCAAACTGCTCTGTCAGTACAAAGGTTCAACACTGTTAGTTGATTAGATGCATCATAAACAAGTTCCTGAGATAGCTTCTATGTCGCTTTTATGGGAAGATATTTCCTTTTACACCATAGGCCTGAAAGCGCTCCAAATGTCCACTTCCAGATACTACAAAATGAGTGTTTCCAACCTGCTCTATGAAACGGAAGGTTCAACTCTGTGACTTGATTGCAAACATCACGAAGGTGTTTCTGAGAATGCTTCTGTCTAGATTTTCTTTGAAGACATTACCGTTTCCAACGAAATCCTCAAAGCTAGCCAAATATCCACCTGCAGATTCTACAAAAAGAGTGTTTCAAAAGTGCTCTCTCCAAACCAAGGTTCAATTCTGACAGTTGAGTGCACACATCACAAACGTGATTCTGCGAATGCTTCTGTCTAGTTTTTGTCGGAAGATATTTCCTTTTTCAGCATAGGCCCCAAAGAGCTCAAAATGTCCACTGCCAGATAGTACGAGAAGATTGTTTCAAACCTGCTCCGTGAAAGGGAATGTTCAACTCTGTGACTTGAATGTAAACATCCCTAAGATGTTTCTTAGAATGCTTCTGGCTAGATTTTATTTGAAGATATTCCCGTTTCCAACGAAATCCTCAAAGCTTTCCAAATATCCACTTCCAGATTCTATAAAAAGAATGTTTCAGAACAGTTCTGTCAAAAGAAAGGTTCAACTCTGTTAGTGGAGAACACACATCACAATCAAGGTTCTGAGAATGCTTCTGTCTAAATTTTCTATGAAGACATTCCCGTTTCCAACGAAATCCTCACAGCTATCCAAATATCCACTTGCAGATTCTACAAAAAGTGTGGTTCAAAACTGCTGTATCAAAAGAATGGATCAACACTGTTAGTTGAGTACCCACATCACAAACGTGATTCTCAGAATGCTTCTGTCTAGTTTCTATAGGTAGATATTTCCTTTTTCAGCATAGGCCTGAAAGCGCTCCAAATGCCCGCTTCCAGACACTATAAAAAGAGGGTTTCAAACCAACTCTACGAAAGGGAATGTTCAACTCTGAGAGCTGGATGCAAACATCACAAAGAAGTTTCTGAGAATGCGGCTGTCTACTTTTTATATATAATCCCGTTTCCAATGAAATCCTCAAATCTATCCAAATATCCACTAGCAGATTCCAAAAGAAGAGTGTCTCAAAACTGCTCTATCAATAGAAATGTTCAGCACAGTTAGTTTAGTAGATACAGCATAAACATGTTTCTGAGATTACTTCTATCTCGCATTCATGGGAAGATATTTCCTTTTTCCAGATAGGCTACAAAGCCCTCCAAATGTCCACTTCGAGATACTACAAATAGAGTGCTGCACAACTGCTCTATGTGAGGGGATGTTCAATTCTGTGACTTGAATGCAGACACCACAAAGAAGTTTCTGAGAATGCTGCTGTCTAATTTTTATATGTAAGCCCGTTTCCAACGAAATCCTCAAAGCTAACCAAATATCCGCATGCAGAATCTTCAAAAAGAGTGTTCCAGAAGTACTGCATGAAACGAAAGCTTCGAGTCCGTTAGTTGAGGACACGCATCACAAATAAGTTTCTCAGAATGCTTCTGTCTTGTTTTCATTGGAAGATATTTCCTTTTTCACCATAGTTCAGAAAGCGCTCCAAATGTCCACTTCCAGATACTACAAAAGGAGTGTTTCCAACCTGCTTTATGAATGGGAATGTTCCACTCTGTGACTTGAATGGAAATATGGCAAAGTATTTTCTGAGTATGCTGCTGTGTACGTTTTATATTGCATCCCGTTTCCAACGAAATCCTCAAAGCGATCCAAATATACACTTGCAGATTCCAAAAAAAAGAGTGTTTCACACTGCTCTGTCAGTACAAAGGTTCAACACTGTTAGTTGATTGGATGCATCATAAACAAGTTCCTGAGATAGCTTCTATGTCGTTTTTATGGGAAGTTATTTCCTTTTTCACCATAGGCCTGAAAGCGCTCCAAATGTCCACTTCCAGATACTACAAAAAGAGTGTTTCCAACCTGCTCTATGAAACGGAAGGTTCAACTCTGTGACTTGATTGCAAACATCACGAAGGTGTTTCTGAGAATGTTTCTGTCTAGATTTTCTTTGAAGTCATTACCGTTTCCAACGAAATCCTCAAAGCTAGCCAAATATCCACCTGCAGATTCTACAAAAAGAGTGTTTCAAAAGTGCTCTGTCCAAACCAAGGTTCAATTCTGACAGTTGAGTGCACACATCACAAACGTGATTCTGCGAATGCTTCTGTCTAGTTTTTGTCGGAAGATATTTCCTTTTTCAGCATAGGCCCCAAAGAGCTCAAAATGTCCACTGCCAGATAGTACGAGAAGATTGTTTCAAACCTGCTCTGTGAAAGGGAATGTTCAACTCTGTGACTTGAATGTAAACATCCCTAAGATGTTTCTTAGAATGCTTCTGGCTAGATTTTATTTGAAGATATTCCCGTTTCCAACGAAATCCTCAAAGCTTTCCAAATATCCACTTCCAGATTCTATAAAAAGAATGTTTCAGAACAGTTCTGTCAAAAGAAAGGTTCAACTCTGTTAGTGGAGAACACACATCACAATCAAGGTTCTGAGAATGCTTCTGTCTAAATTTTCTATGAAGGCATTCCCGTTTCCAAGGAAATCCTCACAGCTATCCAAATATCCACTTGCAGATTCTACAAAAAGTGTGGTTCAAAACTGCTGTATCAAAAGAATGGATCAACACTGTTAGTTGAGTACCCACATCACAAACGTGATTCTCAGAATGCTTCTGTCTAGTTTCTATAGGTAGATATTTCCTTTTTCAGCATAGGCCTGAAAGCGCTCCAAATGCCCGCTTCCAGACACTATAAAAAGAGGGTTTCAAACCTACTCTACGAAAGGGAATGTTCAACTCTGAGAGCTGGATGCAAACATCACAAAGAAGTTTCTGAGAATGCGGCTGTCTACTATTTATATATAATCCCGTTGCCAACGAAATCCTCAAATCTATCCAAATATCCACTTGCAGATTCCAAAAGAAGAGTGTCTCAAAACTGCTCTATCAATAGAAATGTTCAGCACAGTTAGTTGAGTAGATACAGCATAAACATGTTTCTGAGATTACTTCTATCTCGCATTCATGGGAAGATATTTCCTTTTTCCAGATAGGCTACAAAGCCCTCCAAATGTCCAATTCGAGATACTACAAATAGAGTGCTGCACAACTGCTCTATGTGAGGGGATGTTCAATTCTGTGACTTGGATGCAGACACCACAGAGAAGTTTCTGAGAATGCTGCTGTCTAATTTTTATATGTAAGCCCTTTTCCAACGAAATCCTCAAAGCTATCCAAATATCCGCATGCAGAATCTTCAAAAAGAGTGTTCCAGAGGTACTGCATGAAACGAAAGGTTCAAGTCCGTTAGTTGAGGACAAACATCACAAACAATTTTCTCAGAATGCTTCTGTCTTGTTTTCATTGGAAGATATTTCCTTTTTCACCATAGTTCAGAAAGCGCTCCAAATGTCCACTTCCAGATACTCCAAAAAGAGTGTTTCCAACCTGCTCTATGAATGGGAATGTTCCACTCTGTGACTTGAATGGAAATATGGCAAAGTATTTTCTGAGTATGCTGCTGTGTACGTTTTATATTGCATCCCGTTTCCAACGAAATCCTCAAAGCGATCCAAATATCCACTTGCAGATTCCAAAAAAAGAGTGTTTCAAACTGCTCTGTCAGTACAAAGTTTCAACACTGTTAGTTGATTAGATGCATCATAAACAAGTTCCTGAGATAGCTTCTATGTCGTTTTTATGGGAAGATATTTCCTTTTTCACCATAGGCCTGAAAGCGCTCCAAATGTCCACTTCCAGATACTACAATAAGAGTGTTTCCAACCTGCTCTATGAAACGGAAGGTTCAACTCTGTGACTTGATTGCAAACATCACGAAGGTGTTTCTGAGAATGCTTCTGTCTAGATTTTCTTTGAAGACATTACCGTTTCCAACGAAATCCTCAAAGCTAGCCAAATATCCACCTGCAGATTCTACAAAAAGAGTGTTTCAAAAGTGCTCTGTCCAAACCAAGGTTCAATTCTGACAGTTGAGTGCACACATCACAAACGTGATTCTGCGAATGCTTCTGTCTAGTTTTTGTCGGAAGATATTTCCTTTTTCAGCATAGGCCCCAAGGAGCTCAAAATGTCCACTGCCAGATAGTACGAGAAGATTGTTTCAAACCTGCTCTGTGAAAGGGAATGTTCAACTCTGTGACTTGAATGTAAACATCCCTAAGATGTTTCTTAGAATGCTTCTGGCTAGATTTGATTTGAAGATATTCCCGTTTCCAACGAAATCCTCAAAGCTTTCCAAATATCCACTTCCAGATTCTATAAAAAGAATGTTTCAGAACAGTTCTGTCAAAAGAAAGGTTCAACTCTGTTAGTGGAGAACACACATCACAATCAAGGTTCTGAGAATGCTTCTGTCTAAATTTTCTATGAAGACATTCCCGTTTCCAACGAAATCCTCACAGCTATCCAAATATCCACTTGCAGATTCTACAAAAAGTGTGGTTCAAAACTGCTGTATCAAAAGAATGGATCAACACTGTTAGTTGAGTACCCACATCACAAACGTGATTCTCAGAATGCTTCTGTCTAGTTTCTATAGGTAGATATTTCCTTTTTCAGCATAGGCCTGAAAGCGCTCCAAATGCCCGCTTCCAGACACTATAAAAAGAGGGTTTCAAACCTACTCTATGAAAGGGAATGTTCAACTCTGAGAGCTGGATGCAAACATCACAAAGAAGTTTCTGAGAATGCTGCTGTCTACTTTTGATATATAATCCCGTTTCCAACGAAATCCTCAAATCTATCCAAATATCCACTTGCAGATTCCAAAAGAAGAGTGTCTCAAAACTGCTCTATCAATAGAAATGTTCAGCACAGTTAGTTGAGTAGATACAGCATAAACATGTTTCTGAGATTACTTCTATCTCGCATTCATGGGAAGATATTTCCTTTTTCCAGATAGGCTACAAAGCCCTCCAAATGTCCACTTCCAGATACTACAAATAGAGTGCTGCACAACTGCTCTATGTGAGGGGAAGTTCAATTCTGTGACTTGAATGCAGACACCACAAAGAAGTTTCTGAGAATGCTGCTGTCTAATTTTTACATGTAAGCCCGTTTCCAACGAAATCCTCAAAGCTATCCAAATATCCGCATGCAGAATCTTCAAAAAGAGTGTTCCAGAAGTACTGCATGAAACGAAAGGTTCAAGTCCGTTTGTTGAGGACACACATCACAAATAAGTTTCTCAGAATGCTTCTGTCTTGTTTTCATTGGAAGATATTTCCTTTTTCACCATAGTTCAGAAAGCGCTCCAAATGTCCACTTCCAGATACTCCAAAAAGAGTGTTTCAAACCTGCTCTATGAATGGGAATGTTCCACTCTGTGACTTGAATGGAAATATGGCAAAGTATTTTCTGAGTATGCTGCTGTGTACGTTTTATATTGCATCCCGTTTCCAACGAAATCCTCAAAGCGATCCAAATATCCACTTGCAGATTCCAAAAAAAGAGTGTTTCAAACTGCTCTGTCAGTACAAAGGTTCAACACTGTTAGTTGATTAGATGCCTCATAAACAAGTTCCTGAGATAGCTTCTATGTCGTTTTTATGGGAAGATATTTCCTTTTTCACCATAGGCCTGAAAGCGCTCCAAATGTCCACTTCCAGATACTACAATAAGAGTGTTTCCAACCTGCTCTATGAAACGGAAGGTTCAACTCTGTGACTTGATTGCAAACATCACGAAGGTGTTTCTGAGAATGCTTCTGTCTAGATTTTCTTTGAAGACATTACCGTTTCCAACGAAATCCTCAAAGGTAGCCAAATATCCACCTGCAGATTCTACAAAAAGAGTGTTTCAAAAGTGCTCTGTCCAAACCAAGGTTCAATTCTGACAGTTGAGTGCACACATCACAAACGTGATTCTGCGAATGCTTCTGTCTAGTTTTTGTCGGAAGATATTTCCTTTTTCAGCATAGGCCCCAAGGAGCTCAAAATGTCCACTTCCAGATAGTACGAGAAGATTGTTTCAAACCTGCTCTGTGAAAGGGAATGTTCAACTCTGTGACTTGAATGTAAACATCCCTAAGATGTTTCTTAGAATGCTTCTGGCTAGATTTGATTTGAAGATATTCCCGTTTCAAACGAAATCCTCAAAGCTTTCCAAATATCCACTTCCAGATTCTATACAAAGAATGTTTCAGAACAGTTCTGTCAAAAGAAAGGTTCAACCCTGTTAGTGGAGAACACACATCACAATCAAGGTTCTGAGAATGCTTCTGTCTAGATTTTCTTTGAAGACATTCCCGTTTCCAACGAAATCCTCACAGCTATCCAAATATCCTCTTGCAGATTCTACAAAAAGTGTGGTTCAAAACTGCTGTATCAAAAGAATGGATCAACACTGTTAGTTGAGTACCCACATCACAAACGTGATTCTCAGAATGCTTCTGTCTAGTTTCTGTAGGTAGATATTTCCTATTTTAAGCATAGGCCTGAAAGCGCTCCAAATGCCCGCTTCCAGACACTATAAAAAGAGGGTTTCAAACCTACTCTATGAAAGGGAATGTTCAACTCTGAGAGCTGGATGCAAACATCACAAAGAAGTTTCTGAGAATGCTGCTGTCTACTTTTGATATATAATCCCGTTTCCAACGAAATCCTCAAATCTATCCAAATATCCACTTGCAGATTCCAAAAGAAGAGTGTCTCAAAACTGCTCTATCAATAGAAATGTTCAGCACAGTTAGTTGAGTAGATACAGCATAAACATGTTTCCTGAGATTACTTCTATCTCGCATTCATGGGAAGATATTTCCTTTTTCCAGATAGGCTACAAAGCCCTCCAAATGTCCACTTCCAGATACTACAAATAGAGTGCTGCACAACTGCTCTATGTGAGGGGAAGTTCAATTCTGTGACTTGAATGCAGACACCACAAAGAAGTTTCTGAGAATGCTGCTGTCTAATTTTTACATGTAAGCCCGTTTCCAACGAAATCCTCAAAGCTATCCAAATATCCGCATGCAGAATCTTCAAAAAGAGTGTTCCAGAAGTACTGCATGAAACGAAAGGTTCAAGTCCGTTTGTTGAGGACACACATCACAAATAAGTTTCTCAGAATGCTTCTGTCTTGTTTTCATTGGAAGATATTTCCTTTTTCACCATAGTTCAGAAAGCGCTCCAAATGTCCACTTCCAGATACTCCAAAAAGAGTGTTTCAAACCTGCTCTATGAATGGGAATGTTCCACTCTGTGACTTGAATGGAAATATGGCAAAGTATTTTCTGAGTATGCTGCTGTGTACGTTTTATATTGCATCCCGTTTCCAACGAAATCCTCAAAGCGATCCAAATATCCACTTGCAGATTCCAAAAAAAGAGTGTTTCAAACTGCTCTGTCAGTACAAAGGTTCAACACTGTTAGTTGATTAGATGCCTCATAAACAAGTTCCTGAGATAGCTTCTATGTCGTTTTTATGGGAAGATATTTCCTTTTTCACCATAGGCCTGAAAGCGCTCCAAATGTCCACTTCCAGATACTACAATAAGAGTGTTTCCAACCTGCTCTATGAAACGGAAGGTTCAACTCTGTGACTTGATTGCAAACATCACGAAGGTGTTCCTCAGAATGCTTCTGTCTAGATTTTCTTTGAAGACATTACCGTTTCCAACGAAATCCTCAAAGCTAGCCAAATATCCACCTGCAGATTCTACAAAAAGAGTGTTTCAAAAGTGCTCTGTCCAAACCAAGGTTCAATTCTGACAGTTGAGTGCACACATCACAAACGTGATTCTGCGAATGCTTCTGTCTAGTTTTTGTCGGAAGATATTTCCTTTTTCAGCATAGGCCCCAAGGAGCTCAAAATGTCCACTGCCAGATAGTACGAGAAGATTGTTTCAAACCTGCTCTGTGAAAGGGAATGTTCAACTCTGTGACTTGAATGTAAACATCCCTAAGATGTTTCTTAGAATGCTTCTGGCTAGATTTTATTTGAAGATATTCCCGTTTCCAACGAAATCCTCAAAGCTTTCCAAATATCCACTTCCAGATTCTATAAAAAGAATGTTTCAGAACAGTTCTGTCAAAAGAAAGGTTCAACTCTGTTAGTGGAGAACACACATCACAATCAAGGTTCTGAGAATGCTTCTGTCTAGATTTTCTTTGAAGACATTCCCGTTTCCAACGAAATCCTCACAGCTATCCAAATATCCTCTTGCAGATTCTACAAAAAGTGTGGTTCAAAACTGCTGTATCAAAAGAATGGATCAACACTGTTAGTTGAGTACCCACATCACAAACGTGATTCTCAGAATGCTCTGTCTAGTTTCTATAGGTAGATATTTCCTTTTTCAGCATAGGCCTGAAAGCGCTCCAAATGCCCGCTTCCAGACACTATAAAAAGAGGGTTTCAAACCTACTCTATGAAAGGGAATGTTCAACTCTGAGAGCTGGATGCAAACATCACAAAGAAGTTTCTGAGAATGCTGGCTGTCTACTTTTGATATATAATCCCGTTTCCAACGAAATCCTCAAATCTATCCAAATATCCACTTGCAGATTCCAAAAGAAGAGTGTCTCAAAACTGCTCTATCAATAGAAATGTTCAGCACAGTTAGTTGAGTAGATACAGCATAAACATGTTTCTGAGATTACTACTATCTCGCATTCATGGGAAGATATTTCCTTTTTCCAGATAGGCTACAAAGCCCTCCAAATGTCCACTTCCAGATACTACAAATAGAGTGCTGCACAACTGCTCTATGTGAGGTGAAGTTCAATTCTGTGACTTGAATGCAGACACCACAAAGAAGTTTCTGAGAATGCTGCTGTCTAATTTTTACATGTAAGGCCGTTTCCAACGAAATCCTCAAAGCTATCCAAATATCCGCATGCAGAATCTTCAAAAAGAGTGTTCCAGAAGTACTGCATGAAACGAAAGGTTCAAGTCCGTTTGTTGAGGACACACATCACAAATAAGTTTCTCAGAATGCTTCTGTCTTGTTTTCATTGGAAGATATTTCCTTTTTCACCATAGTTCAGAAAGCGCTCCAAATGTCCACTTCCAGATACTACAAAAAGAGTGTGTCAAACCTGCTCTATGAATGGGAATGTTCCACTCTGTGACTTGAATGGAAATATGGCAACGTATTTTCTGAGTATGCTTCTGTGTACGTTTTATATTGCATCCCGTTTCCAACGAAATCCTCAAAGCGATCCAAATATCCACTTGCAGATTCCAAAAAAAAGAGTGTTTCACACTGCTCTGTCAGTACAAAGGTTCAACACTGTTAGTTGATTGGATGCATCATAAACAAGTTCCTGAGATAGCTTCTATCTCGCATTCATGGGAAGATATTTCCTTTTTCCAGATAGGCTACAAAGCCCTCCAAATGTCCACTTCCAGATACTACAAAAAGTGTGTTTCCAACCTGCTCTATGAAACGGAAGGTTCAACTCTGTGACTTGATTGCAAACATCACGAAGGTGTTTCTGAGAATGCTTCTGTCTAGATTTTCTTTGAAGACATTACCGTTTCCAACGAAATCCTCAAAGCTAGCCAAATATCCACCTGCAGATTCTACAAAAAGAGTGTTTCAAAAGTGCTCTGTCCAAACCAAGGTTCAATTCTGACAGTTGAGTGCACACATCACAAACGTGATTCTGCGAATGCTTCTGTCTAGTTTTTGTCGGAAGATATTTCCTTTTTCAGCATAGGCCCCAAGGAGCTCAAAATGTCCACTGCCAGATAGTACGAGAAGATTGTTTCAAACCTGCTCTGTGAAAGGGAATGTTCAACTCTGTGACTTGAATGTAAACATCCCTAAGATGTTTCTTAGAATGCTTCTGGCTAGATTTGATTTGAAGATATTCCCGTTTCCAACGAAATCCTCAAAGCTTTCCAAATATCCACTTCCAGATTCTATAAAAAGAATGTTTCAGAACAGTTCTGTCAAAAGAAAGGTTCAACTCTGTTAGTGGAGAACACACATCACAATCAAGGTTCTGAGAATGCTTCTGTCTAGATTTTCTTTGAAGACATTCCCGTTTCCAACGAAATCCTCACAGCTATCCAAATATCCTCTTGCAGATTCTACAAAAAGTGTGGTTCAAAACTGCTGTATCAAAAGAATGGATCAACACTGTTAGTTGAGTACCCACATCACAAACGTGATTCTCAGAATGCTTCTGTCTAGTTTCTGTAGGTAGATATTTCCTATTTTAAGCATAGGCCTGAAAGCGCTCCAAATGCCCGCTTCCAGACACTATAAAAAGAGGGTTTCAAACCTACTCTATGAAAGGGAATGTTCAACTCTGAGAGCTGGATGCAAACATCACAAAGAAGTTTCTGAGAATGCTGCTGTCTACTTTTTATATATAATCCCGTTTCCAACGAAATCCTCAAATCTATCCAAATATCCACTTGCAGATTCCAAAAGAAGAGTGTCTGAAAACTGCTCTATCAATAGAAATGTTCAGCACAGTTAGTTGAGTAGATACAGCATAAACATGTTTCTGAGATTACTCTATCTCGCATTCATGGGAAGATATTTCCTTTTTCCAGATAGGCTACAAAGCCCTCCAAATATCCACTTCGAGATACTACAGATAGAGTGCTGCACAACTGCTCTATGTGAGGGGATTTTCAATTCTGTGACTTGAATGCAGACACCACAAAGAAGTTTCTGAGAATGCTGGCTGTCTAATTTTTACATGTAAGCCCGTTTCCAACGAAATCCTCAAAGCTATCCAAATATCCGCATGCAGAATCTTCAAAAAGAGTGTTCCAGAAGTACTGCATGAAATGAAAGGTTCAAGTCCGTTTGTTGAGGACACACATCACAAATAAGTTTCTCTGAATGCTTCTGTCTTGTTTTCATTCGAAGATATTTCCTTTTTCACCATAGTTCAGAAAGCGCTCCAAATGTCCACTTCCAGATACTACAAAAGGAGTGTTTCCAACCTGTTCTATGAATGGGAATGTTCCACTCTGTGACTTGAATGGAAATATGGCAAAGTATTTTCTGAGTATGCTGCTGTGTACGTTTTATATTGCATCCCGTTTCCAACGAAATCCTCAAAGCGATCCTAATATCCACTTGCAGATTCCAAAAAAAAGAGTGTTTCACACTGCTCTGTCAGTACAAATGTTCAACACTGTTAGTTGATTGGATGCATCATAAACAAGTTCCTGAGATAGCTTCTATGTCGTTTTTATTGGAAGATATTTCCTTTTTCACCATAGGCCTGAAAGCGCTCCAAATGTCCACTTCCAGATACTACAAAAAGAGTGTTTGCAACCTGCTCTATGAAACGGAAGGTTCAACTCTGTGACTTGATTGCAAACATCACGAAGGTGTTTCTGAGAATGTTTCTGTCTAGATTTTCTTTGAAGACATTAGCGTTTCCATCGAAATCCTCAAAGCTAGCCAAATATCCACCTGCAGATTCTACAAAAAGAGTGTTTCAAAAGTGCTCTGTCCAAACCAAGGTTCAATTCTGACAGTTGAGTGCACACATCACAAACGTGATTCTGCGAATGCTTCTGTCTAGTTTTTGTCGAAAGCTATTTCCTTTCTCAGCATAGGCCCCAAGGAGCTCAAAATGTCCACTTCCAGATAGTACGAGAAGATTGTTTCAAACCTGCGCTGTGAAAGGGAATGTTCAACTCTGTGACTTGAATGTAAACATCCCTAAGATGTTTCTTAGAATGCTTCTGGCTAGATTTTATTTGAAGATATTCCCGTTTCCAACGAAATCCTCAAAGCTTTCCAAATATCCACTTCCAGATTCTATAAAAAGAATGTTTCAGAACAGTTCTGTCAAAAGAAAGGTTCAACTCTGTTAGTGGAGAACACACATCACAATCAAGGTTCTGAGAATGCTTCTGTCTACATTTTCTATGAAGACATTCCCGTTTCCAACGAAATCCTCACAGCTATCCAAATATCCACTTGCAGATTCTACAAAAAGTGTGGTTCAAAACTGCTGTATCAAAAGAATGGATCAACACTGTTAGTTGAGTACCCACATCACAAACGTGATTCTCAGAATGCTTCTGTCTAGTTTCTATAGGTAGATATTTCCTTTTTCAGCATAGGCCTGAAAGCGCTCCAAATGCCCGCTTCCAGACACTATAAAAAGAGGGTTTCAAACCTACTCCACCAAAGGGAATGTTCAACTCTGAGAGCTGGATGCAAAACTCACAAAGAAGTTTCTGAGAATGCTGCTGTCTACTTTTGATATATAATCCCGTTTCCAAGGAAATCCTCAAATCTATCCAAATATCCACTTGCAGATTCCAACAGGAGAGTGTCTCAAAACTGCTCTATCAATAGAAATGTTCAGCACAGTTAGTTGAGTAGATACAGCATAAACATGTTTCTGAGATTACTTCTATCTCGCATTCATGGGAAGATATTTCCTTTTTCCAGATAGGCTACAAAGCCCTCCAAATGTCCACTTCCAGATACTACAAATAGAGTGCTGCACAACTGCTCTATGTGAGGGGATGTTCAATTCTGTGACTTGAATGCAGACACCACAAAGAAGTTTCTGAGAATGCTGCTGTCTAATTTTTACATGTAAGCCCGTTTCCAACGAAATCCTCAAAGCTATCCAAATATCCGCATGCAGAATCTTCAAAAAGAGTGTTCCAGAAGTACTGCATGAAACGAAAGGTTCAAGTCCGTTTGTTGAGGACACACATCACAAATAAGTTTCTCAGAATGCTTCTGTCTTGTTTTCATTCGAAGATATTTCCTTTTTCACCATAGTTCAGAAAGCGCTCCAAATGTCCACTTCCAGATACTACAAAAGGAGTGTTTCCAACCTGTTCTATGAATGGGAATGTTCCACTCTGTGACTTGAATGGAAATATGGCAAAGTATTTTCTGAGTATGCTGCTGTGTACGTTTTATATTGCATCCCGTTTCCAACGAAATCCTCAAAGCGATCCAAATATCCACTTGCAGATTCCAAAAAAAGAGTGTTTCAAAGTGCTCTGTCAGTACAAAGGTTCAACACTGTTAGTTGATTAGATGCATCATAAACAAGTTCCTGAGATAGCTTCTATGTCGTTTTTATGGTAAGATATTTCCTTCTTCGCCATAGGCCTGAAAGCGCTCCAAATGTCCACTTCCAGATACTACAAAAAGAGTGTTTCCAACCTGCTCTACGAAACGGAAGGTTCAACTCTGTGACTTGATTGCAAACATCACGAAGGTGTTTCTGAGAATGTTTCTGTCTAGATTTTCTTTGAAGACATTACCGTTTCCAACGAAATCCTCAAAGCTAGTCAAATATCCACCTGCAGATTCTACAAAAAGAGTGTTTCAAAAGTGCTCTGTCCAAACAAAGGTTCAATTCTGACCGTTGAGTGCACACATCACAAACGTGATTCTGCGAATGCTTCTGTCTAGTTTTTGTCGGAAGATATTTCCTTTTTCAGCATAGGCCCCAAGGAGCTCAAAATGTCCACTTCCAGATAGTACGAGAAGATTGTTTCAAACCTGCTCTGTGAAAGGGAATGTTCAACTCTGTGACTTGAATGTAAACATCCCTAAGATGTTTCTTAGAATGCTTCTGGCTAGATTTGATTTGAAGATATTCCCGTTTCCAACGAAATCCTCAAAGCTTTCCAAATATCCACTTCCAGATTCTATACAAAGAATGTTTCAGAACAGTTCTGTCAAAAGAAAGGTTCAACCCTGTTAGTGGAGAACACACATCACAATCAAGGTTCTGAGAATGCTTCTGTCTAAATTTTCTATGAAGACATTCCCGTTTCCAACGAAATCCTCACAGCTATCCAAATATCCACTTGCAGATTCTACAAAAAGTGTGGTTCAAAACTGCTGTATCAAAAGAATGGATCAACACTGTTAGTTGAGTACCCACATCACAAACGTGATTCTCAGAATGCTTCTGTCTAGTTTCTATAGGTAGATATTTCCTTTTTCAGCATAGGCCTGAAAGCGCTCCAAATGCCCGCTTCCAGACACTATAAAAAGAGGGTTTCAAACCTACTCTATGAAAGGGAATGTTCAACTCTGAGAGCTGGATGCAAACATCACAAAGAAGTTTCTGAGAATGCTGCTGTCTACTTTTTATATATAATCCCGTTTCCAACGAAATCCTCAAATCTATCCAAATATCCACTTGCAGATTCCAAAAGAAGAGTGTCTCAAAACTGCTCTATCAATAGAAATGTTCAGCACAGTTAGTTGAGTAGATACAGCATAAACATGTTTCTGAGATTACTTCTATCTCGCATTCATGGGAAGATATTTCCTTTTTCCAGATAGGCTACAAAGCCCTCCAAATGTCCACTTCGAGATACTACAAATAGAGTGCTGCACAACTGCTCTATGTGAGGGGATGTTCAATTCTGTGACTTGGATGCAGACACCACAGAGAAGTTTCTGAGAATGCTGCTGTCTAATTTTTACATGTAAGCCCGTTTCCAACGAAATCCTCAAAGCTATCCAAATATCCGCATGCAGAATCTTCAAAAAGAGTGTTCCAGAAGTACTGCATGAAACGAAAGGTTCAAGTCCGTTTGTTGAGGACACACATCACAAATAAGTTTCTCAGAATGCTTCTGTGTTGTTTTCATTGGAAGATATTTCCTTTTTCACCATAGTTCAGAAAGCGCTCCAAATGTCCACTTCCAGATACTCCAAAAAGAGTGTTTCCAACCTGCTCTATGAATGGGAATGTTCCACTCTGTGACTTGAATGGAAATATGGCAAAGTATTTTCTGAGTATGCTGCTGTGTACGTTTTATATTGCATCCCGTTTCCAACGAAATCCTCAAAGCGATCCAAATATCCACTTGCAGATTCCAAAAAAAGAGTGTTTCAAACTGCTCTGTCAGTACAAAGGTTCAACACTGTTAGTTGATTAGATGCATCATAAACAAGTTCCTGAGATAGCTTCTATGTCGTTTTTATGGGAAGATATTTCCTTTTTCACCATAGGCCTGAAAGCGCTCCAAATGTCCACTTCCAGATACTACAATAAGAGTGTTTCCAACCTGCTCTATGAAACGGAAGGTTCAACTCTGTGACTTGATTGCAAACATCACGAAGGTGTTTCTGAGAATGCTTCTGTCTAGATTTTCTTTGAAGACATTACCGTTTCCAACGAAATCCTCAAAGCTAGCCAAATATCCACCTGCAGATTCTACAAAAAGAGTGTTTCAAAAGTGCTCTGTCCAAACCAAGGTTCAATTCTGACAGTTGAGTGCACACATCACAAACGTGATTCTGCGAATGCTTCTGTCTAGTTTTTGTCGGAAGATATTTCCTTTTTCAGCATAGGCCCCAAGGAGCTCAAAATGTCCACTGCCAGATAGTACGAGAAGATTGTTTCAAACCTGCTCTGTGAAAGGGAATGTTCAACTCTGTGACTTGAATGTAAACATCCCTAAGATGTTTCTTAGAATGCTTCTGGCTAGATTTGATTTGAAGATATTCCCGTTTCCAACGAAATCCTCAAAGCTTTCCAAATATCCACTTCCAGATTCTATAAAAAGAATGTTTCAGAACAGTTCTGTCAAAAGAAAGGTTCAACTCTGTTAGTGGAGAACACACATCACAATCAAGGTTCTGAGAATGCTTCTGTCTAAATTTTCTATGAAGACATTCCCGTTTCCAACGAAATCCTCACAGCTATCCAAATATCCACTTGCAGATTCTACAAAAAGTGTGGTTCAAAACTGCTGTATCAAAAGAATGGATCAACACTGTTAGTTGAGTACCCACATCACAAACGTGATTCTCAGAATGCTTCTGTCTAGTTTCTATAGGTAGATATTTCCTTTTTCAGCATAGGCCTGAAAGCGCTCCAAATGCCCGCTTCCAGACACTATAAAAAGAGGGTTTCAAACCTACTCTATGAAAGGGAATGTTCAACTCTGAGAGCTGGATGCAAACATCACAAAGAAGTTTCTGAGAATGCTGCTGTCTACTTTTTATATATAATCCCGTTTCCAACGAAATCCTCAAATCTATCCAAATATCCACTTGCAGATTCCAAAAGAAGAGTGTCTCAAAACTGCTCTATCAATAGAAATGTTCAGCACAGTTAGTTGAGTAGATACAGCATAAACATGTTTCTGAGATTACTTCTATCTCGCATTCATGGGAAGATATTTCCTTTTTCCAGATAGGCTACAAAGCCCTCCAAATGTCCACTTCCAGATACTACAAATAGAGTGCTGCACAACTGCTCTATGTGAGGGGAAGTTCAATTCTGTGACTTGAATGCAGACACCACAAAGAAGTTTCTGAGAATGCTGCTGTCTAATTTTTACATGTAAGCCCGTTTCCAACGAAATCCTCAAAGCTATCCAAATATCCGCATGCAGAATCTTCAAAAAGAGTGTTCCAGAAGTACTGCATGAAACGAAAGGTTCAAGTCCGTTTGTTGAGGACACACATCACAAATAAGTTTCTCAGAATGCTTCTGTCTTGTTTTCATTGGAAGATATTTCCTTTTTCACCATAGTTCAGAAAGCGCTCCAAATGTCCACTTCCAGATACTCCAAAAAGAGTGTTTCCAACCTGCTCTATGAATGGGAATGTTCCACTCTGTGACTTGAATGGAAATATGGCAAAGTATTTTCTGAGTATGCTGCTGTGTACGTTTTATATTGCATCCCGTTTCCAACGAAATCCTCAAAGCGATCCAAATATCCACTTGCAGATTCCAAAAAAAGAGTGTTTCAAAGTGCTCTGTCAGTACAAAGGTTCAACACTGTTAGTTGATTAGATGCATCATAAACAAGATCCTGAGATAGCTTCTATGTCGTTTTTATGGGAAGATATTTCCTTTTTCACCATAGGCCTGAAAGCGCTCCAAATGTCCACTTCCAGATACTACAATAAGAGTGTTTCCAACCTGCTCTATGAAACGGAAGGTTCAACTCTGTGACTTGATTGCAAACATCACGAAGGTGTTCCTCAGAATGCTTCTGTCTAGATTTTCTTTGAAGACATTACCGTTTCCAACGAAATCCTCAAAGCTAGCCAAATATCCACCTGCAGATTCTACAAAAAGAGTGTTTCAAAAGTGCTCTGTCCAAACCAAGGTTCAATTCTGACAGTTGAGTGCACACATCACAAACGTGATTCTGCGAATGC
The DNA here is from genome assembly GCF_000001405.40 of Homo sapiens. Lineage (NCBI taxonomy): Eukaryota > Metazoa > Chordata > Mammalia > Primates > Hominidae > Homo > Homo sapiens. The sequence goes on along the minus strand of NC_000008.11, from coordinate 45,752,650 downwards.
TTCTGTCTAGTTTTTGTCGGAAGATATTTCCTTTTTCAGCATAGGCCCCAAGGAGCTCAAAATGTCCACTGCCAGATAGTACGAGAAGATTGTTTCAAACCTGCTCTGTGAAAGGGAATGTTCAACTCTGTGACTTGAATGTAAACATCCCTAAGATGTTTCTTAGAATGCTTCTGGCTAGATTTGATTTGAAGATATTCCCGTTTCCAACGAAATCCTCAAAGCTTTCCAAATATCCACTTCCAGATTCTATAACAAGAATGTTTCAGAACAGTTCTGTCAAAAGAAAGGTTCAACTCTGTTAGTGGAGAACACACATCACAATCAAGGTTCTGAGAATGCTTCTGTCTAGATTTTCTTTGAAGACATTACCGTTTCCAACGAAATCCTCACAGCTATCCAAATATCCACTTGCAGATTCTACAAAAAGTGTGGTTCAAAACTGCTGTATCAAAAGAATGGATCAACACTGTTAGTTGAGTACCCACATCACAAACGTGATTCTCAGAATGCTTCTGTCTAGTTTCTATAGGTAGATATTTCCTTTTTCAGCATAGGCCTGAAAGCGCTCCAAATGCCCGCTTCCAGACACTATAAAAAGAGGGTTTCAAACCTACTCTATGAAAGGGAATGTTCAACTCTGAGAGCTGGATGCAAACATCACAAAGAAGTTTCTGAGAATGCTGCTGTCTACTTTTTATATATAATCCCGTTTCCAACGAAATCCTCAAATCTATCCAAATATCCACTTGCAGATTCCAAAAGAAGAGTGTCTCAAAACTGCTCTATCAATAGAAATGTTCAGCACAGTTAGTTGAGTAGATACAGCATAAACATGTTTCTGAGATTACTTCTATCTCGCATTCATGGGAAGATATTTCCTTTTTCCAGATAGGCTACAAAGCCCTCCAAATGTCCACTTCGAGATACTACAAATAGAGTGCTGCACAGCTGCTCTATGTGAGGGGATGTTCAATTCTGTGACTTGAATGCAGACACCACAGAGAAGTTTCTGAGAATGCTGCTGTCTAATTTTTATATGTAAGCCCGTTTCCAATGAAATCCTCAAAGCTATCCAAATATCCGCATGCAGAATCTTCAAAAAGAGTGTTCCAGAAGTACTGCATGAAACGAAAGGTTCAAGTCCGTTAGTTGAGGACACACATCACAAATAAGTTTCTCAGAATGCTTCTGTCTTGTTTTCATTGGAAGATATTTCCTTTTTCACCATAGTTCAGAAAGCGCTCCAAATGTCCACTTCCAGATACTCCAAAAAGAGTGTTTCCAACCTGCTCTATGAATGGGAATGTTCCACTCTGTGACTTGAATGGAAATATGGCAAAGTATTTTCTGAGTATGCTGCTGTGTACGTTTTATATTGCATCCCGTTTCCAACGAAATCCTCAAAGCGATCCAAATATCCACTTGCAGATTCCAAAAAAAGAGTGTTTCAAACTGCTCTGTCAGTACAAAGGTTCAACACTGTTAGTTGATTAGATGCATCATAAACAAGTTCCTGAGATAGCTTCTATGTCGTTTTTATGGGAAGATATTTCCTTTTTCACCATAGGCCTGAAAGCGCTCCAAATGTCCACTTCCAGATACTACAATAAGAGTGTTTCCAACCTGCTCTATGAAACGGAAGGTTCAACTCTGTGACTTGATTGCAAACATCACGAAGGTGTTTCTGAGAATGCTTCTGTCTAGATTTTCTTTGAAGACATTACCGTTTCCAACGAAATCCTCAAAGCTAGCCAAATATCCACCTGCAGATTCTACAAAAAGAGTGTTTCAAAAGTGCTCTGTCCAAACCAAGGTTCAATTCTGACAGTTGAGTGCACACATCACAAACGTGATTCTGCGAATGCTTCTGTCTAGTTTTTGTCGGAAGATATTTCCTTTTTCAGCATAGGCCCCAAGGAGCTCAAAATGTCCACTGCCAGATAGTACGAGAAGATTGTTTCAAACCTGCTCTGTGAAAGGGAATGTTCAACTCTGTGACTTGAATGTAAACATCCCTAAGATGTTTCTTAGAATGCTTCTGGCTAGATTTGATTTGAAGATATTCCCGTTTCCAACGAAATCCTCAAAGCTTTCCAAATATCCACTTCCAGATTCTATAAAAAGAATGTTTCAGAACAGTTCTGTCAAAAGAAAGGTTCAACTCTGTTAGTGGAGAACACACATCACAATCAAAGTTCTGAAAATGCTTCTGTCTAAATTTTCTATGAAGACATTCCCGTTTCCAACGAAATCCTCACAGCTATCCAAATATCCACTTGCAGATTCTACAAAAAATGTGGTTCAAAACTGCTGTATCAAAAGAATGGATCAACACTGTTAGTTGAGTACCCACATCACAAACGTGATTCTCAGAATGCTTCTGTCTAGTTTCTGTAGGTAGATATTTCCTATTTTAAGCATAGACCTGAAAGCGCTCCAAATGCCCGCTTCCAGACACTATAAAAAGAGGGTTTCAAACCTACTCTATGAAAGGGAATGTTCAACTCTGAGAGCTGGATGCAAACATCACAAAGAAGTTTCTGAGAATGCTGCTGTCTACTTTTTATATATAATCCCGTTTCCAACGAAATCCTCAAATCTATCCAAATATCCACTTGCAGATTCCAAAAGAAGAGTGTCTCAAAACTGCTCTATCAATAGAAATGTTCAGCACAGTTAGTTGAGTAGATACAGCATAAACATGTTTCTGAGATTACTTCTATCTCGCATTCATGGGAAGATATTTCCTTTTTCCAGATAGGCTACAAAGCCCTCCAAATGTCCACTTCCAGATACTACAAATAGAGTGCTGCACAACTGCTCTATGTGAGGGGAAGTTCAATTCTGTGACTTGAATGCAGACACCACAAAGAAGTTTCTGAGAATGCTGCTGTCTAATTTTTACATGTAAGCCCGTTTCCAACGAAATCCTCAAAGCTATCCAAATATCCGCATGCAGAATCTTCAAAAAGAGTGTTCCAGAAGTACTGCATGAAACGAAAGGTTCAAGTCCGTTTGTTGAGGACACACATCACAAATAAGTTTCTCAGAATGCTTCTGTGTTGTTTTCATTGGAAGATATTTCCTTTTTCACCATAGTTCAGAAAGCGCTCCAAATGTCCACTTCCAGATACTCCAAAAAGAGTGTTTCCAACCTGCTCTATGAATGGGAATGTTCCACTCTGTGACTTGAATGGAAATATGGCAAAGTATTTTCTGAGTATGCTGCTGTGTACGTTTTATATTGCATCCCGTTTCCAACGAAATCCTCAAAGCGATCCAAATATCCACTTGCAGATTCCAAAAAAAGAGTGTTTCAAACTGCTCTGTCAGTACAAAGGTTCAACACTGTTAGTTGATTAGATGCATCATAAACAAGTTCCTGAGATAGCTTCTATGTCGTTTTTATGGGAAGATATTTCCTTTTTCACCATAGGCCTGAAAGCGCTCCAAATGTCCACTTCCAGATACTACAATAAGAGTGTTTCCAACCTGCTCTATGAAACGGAAGGTTCAACTCTGTGACTTGATTGCAAACATCACGAAGGTGTTTCTGAGAATGCTTCTGTCTAGATTTTCTTTGAAGACATTACCGTTTCCAACGAAATCCTCAAAGCTAGCCAAATATCCACCTGCAGATTCTACAAAAAGAGTGTTTCAAAAGTGCTCTGTCCAAACCAAGGTTCAATTCTGACAGTTGAGTGCACACATCACAAACGTGATTCTGCGAATGCTTCTGTCTAGTTTTTGTCGGAAGATATTTCCTTTTTCAGCATAGGCCCCAAGGAGCTCAAAATGTCCACTGCCAGATAGTACGAGAAGATTGTTTCAAACCTGCTCTGTGAAAGGGAATGTTCAACTCTGTGACTTGAATGTAAACATCCCTAAGATGTTTCTTAGAATGCTTCTGGCTAGATTTGATTTGAAGATATTCCCGTTTCCAACGAAATCCTCAAAGCTTTCCAAATATCCACTTCCAGATTCTATAACAAGAATGTTTCAGAACAGTTCTGTCAAAAGAAAGGTTCAACTCTGTTAGTGGAGAACACACATCACAATCAAGGTTCTGAGAATGCTTCTGTCTAGATTTTCTTTGAAGACATTCCCGTTTCCAACGAAATCCTCACAGCTATCCAAATATCCTCTTGCAGATTCTACAAAAAGTGTGGTTCAAAACTGCTGTATCAAAAGAATGGATCAACACTGTTAGTTGAGTACCCACATCACAAACGTGATTCTCAGAATGCTTCTGTCTAGTTTCTATAGGTAGATATTTCCTTTTTCAGCATAGGCCCGAAAGCGCTCCAAATGCCCGCTTCCAGACACTATAAAAAGAGGGTTTCAAACCTACTCTATGAAAGGGAATGTTCAACTCTGAGAGCTGGATGCAAACATCACAAAGAAGTTTCTGAGAATGCTGCTGTCTACTTTTTATATATAATCCCGTTTCCAACGAAATCCTCAAATCTATCCAAATATCCACTTGCAGATTCCAAAAGAAGAGTGTCTCAAAACTGCTCTATCAATAGAAATGTTCAGCACAGTTAGTTGAGTAGATACAGCATAAACATGTTTCTGAGATTACTTCTATCTCGCATTCATGGGAAGATATTTCCTTTTTCCAGATAGGCTACAAAGCCCTCCAAATGTCCACTTCGAGATACTACAAATAGAGTGCTGCACAACTGCTCTATGTGAGGGGAAGTTCAATTCTGTGACTTGAATGCAGACACCACAAAGAAGTTTCTGAGAATGCTGCTGTCTAATTTTTACATGTAAGCCCGTTTCCAACGAAATCCTCAAAGCAATCCAAATATCCGCATGCAGAATCTTCAAAAAGAGTGTTCCAGAAGTACTGCATGAAACGAAAGGTTCAAGTCCGTTAGTTGAGGACACACATCACAAATAAGTTTCTCAGAATGCTTCTGTCTTGTTTTCATTGGAAGATATTTCCTTTTTCACCATAGTTCAGAAAGCGCTCCAAATGTCCACTTCCAGATACTCCAAAAAGAGTGTTTCCAACCTGCTCTATGAATGGGAATGTTCCACTCTGTGACTTGAATGGAAATATGGCAAAGTATTTTCTGAGTATGCTGCTGTGTACGTTTTATATTGCATCCCGTTTCCAACGAAATCCTCAAAGCGATCCAAATATCCACTTGCAGATTCCAAAAAAAGAGTGTTTCAAACTGCTCTGTCAGTACAAAGGTTCAACACTGTTAGTTGATTAGATGCATCATAAACAAGTTCCTGAGATAGCTTCTATCTCGCATTCATGGGAAGATATTTCCTTTTTCCAGATAGGCTACAAAGCCCTCCAAATGTCCACTTCCAGATACTACAAAAAGTGTGTTTCCAACCTGCTCTATGAAACGGAAGGTTCAACTCTGTGACTTGATTGCAAACATCACGAAGGTATTTCTGAGAATGCTTCTGTCTAGATTTTCTTTGAAGACATTACCGTTTCCAACGAAATCCTCAAAGCTAGCCAAATATCCACCTGCAGATTCTACAAAAAGAGTGTTTCAAAAGTGCTCTCTCCAAACCAAGGTTCAATTCTGACAGTTGAGTGCACACATCACAAACGTGATTCTGCGAATGCTTCTGTCTAGTTTTTGTCGGAAGATATTTCCTTTTTCAGCATAGGCCCCAAGGAGCTCAAAATGTCCACTGCCAGATAGTACGAGAAGATTGTTTCAAACCTGCTCTGTGAAAGGGAATGTTCAACTCTGTGACTTGAATGTAAACATCCCTAAGATGTTTCTTAGAATGCTTCTGGCTAGATTTGATTTGAAGATATTCCCGTTTCCAACGAAATCCTCAAAGCTTTCCAAATATCCACTTCCAGATTCTATAAAAAGAATGTTTCAGAACAGTTCTGTCAAAAGAAAGGTTCAACTCTGTTAGTGGAGAACACACATCACAATCAAGGTTCTGAGAATGCTTCTGTCTAAATTTTCTATGAAGACATTCCCGTTTCCAACGAAATCCTCACAGCTATCCAAATATCCACTTGCAGATTCTACAAAAAGTGTGGTTCAAAACTGCTGTATCAAAAGAATGGATCAACACTGTTAGTTGAGTACCCACATCACAAACGTGATTCTCAGAATGCTTCTGTCTAGTTTCTACAGGTAGATATTTCCTTTTTCAGCATAGGCCTGAAAGCGCTCCAAATGCCCGCTTCCAGACACTATAAAAAGAGGGTTTCAAACCTACTCTATGAAAGGGAATGTTCAACTCTGAGAGCTGGATGCAAACATCACAAAGAAGTTTCTGAGAATGCTGCTGTCTACTTTTTATATATAATCCCGTTTCCAACGAAATCCTCAAATCTATCCAAATATCCACTTGCAGATTCCAAAAGAAGAGGGTCTCAAAACTGCTCTATCAATAGAAATGTTCAGCACAGTTAGTTGAGTACATACAGCATAAACATGTTTCTGAGATTACATCTATCTCGCATTCATGGGAAGATATTTCCTTTTTCCAGATAGGCTACAAAGCCCTCCAAATGTCCACTTCCAGATACTACAAATAGAGTGCTGCACAACTGCTCTATGTGAGGGGAAGTTAAATTCTGTGACTTGAATGCAGACACCACAAAGAAGTTTCTGAGAATGCTGCTGTCTAATTTTTACATGTAAGCCCGTTTCCAACGAAATCCTCAAAGCTATCCAAATATCCGCATGCAGAATCTTCAAAAAGAGTGTTCCAGAAGTACTGCATGAAACGAAAGGTTCAAGTCCGTTTGTTGAGGACACACATCACAAATAAGTTTCTCAGAATGCTTCTGTCTTGTTTTCATTGGAAGATATTTCCTTTTTCACCATAGTTCAGAAAGCGCTCCAAATGTCCACTTCCAGATACTCCAAAAAGAGTGTTTCCAACCTGCTCTATGAATGGGAATGTTCCACTCTGTGACTTGAATGGAAACATGGCAAAGTATTTTCTGAGTATGCTGCTGTGTACGTTTTATATTGCATCCCGTTTCCAACGAAATCCTCAAAGCGATCCAAATATCCACTTGCAGATTCCAAAAAAAGAGTGTTTCAAACTGCTCTGTCAGTACAAAGGTTCAACACTGTTAGTTGATTAGATGCATCATAAACAAGTTCCTGAGATAGCTTCTATGTCGTTTTTATGGGAAGATATTTCCTTTTTCACCATAGGCCTGAAAGCGCTCCAAATGTCCACTTCCAGATACTACAAAAAGAGTGTTTCCAACCTGCTCTATGAAACGGAAGGTTCAACTCTGTGACTTGATTGCAAACATCACGAAGGTGTTTCTGAGAATGCTTCTGTCTAGATTTTCTTTGAAGACATTACCGTTTCCAACGAAATCCTCAAAGCTAGCCAAATATCCACCTGCAGATTCTACAAAAAGAGTGTTTCAAAAGTGCTCTGTCCAAACCAAGGTTCAATTCTGACAGTTGAGTGCACACATCACAAACGTGATTCTGCGAATGCTTCTGTCTAGTTTTTGTCGGAAGATATTTCCTTTTTCAGCATAGGCCCCAAGGAGCTCAAAATGTCCACTGCCAGATAGTACGAGAAGATTGTTTCAAACCTGCTGCTGTGAAAGGGAATGTTCAACTCTGTGACTTGAATGTAAACATCCCTAAGATGTTTCTTAGAATGCTTCTGGCTAGATTTTATTTGAAGATATTCCCGTTTCCAACGAAATCCTCAAAGCTTTCCAAATATCCACTTCCAGATTCTATAAAAAGAATGTTTCAGAACAGTTCTGTCAAAAGAAAGGTTCAACTCTGTTAGTGGAGAACACACATCACAATCAAGGTTCTGAGAATGCTTCTGTCTAAATTTTCTATGAAGACATTCCCGTTTCCAACGAAATCCTCACAGCTATCCAAATATCCACTTGCAGATTCTACAAAAAGGGTGGTTCAAAACTGCTGTATCAAAAGAATGGATCAACACTGTTAGTTGAGTACCCACATCACAAACGTGATTCTCAGAATGCTTCTGTCTAGTTTCTATAGGTAGATATTTCCTTTTTCAGCATAGGCCTGAAAGCGCTCCAAATGCCCGCTTCCAGACACTATAAAAAGAGGGTTTCAAACCTACTCTATGAAAGGGAATGTTCAACTCTGAGAGCTGGATGCAAACATCACAAAGAAGTTTCTGAGAATGCTGCTGTCTACTTTTTATATATAATCCCGTTGCCAACGAAATCCTCAAATCTATCCAAATATCCACTTGCAGATTCCAAAAGAAGAGTGTCTCAAAACTGCTCTATCAATAGAAATGTTCAGCACAGTTAGTTGAGTAGATACAGCATAAACATGTTTCTGAGATTACTTCTATCTCGCATTCATGGGAAGATATTTCCTTTTTCCAGATAGGCTACAAAGCCCTCCAAATGTCCACTTCGAGATACTACAAATAGAGTGCTGCACAACTGCTGTATGTGAGGGGATGTTCAATTCTGTGGCTTGGATGCAGACACCACAGAGAAGTTTCTGAGAATGCTGCTGTCTAATTTTTACATGTAAGCCCGTTTCCAACGAAATCCTCAAAGCTATCCAAATATCCGCATGCAGAATCTTCAAAAAGAGTGTTCCAGAAGTACTGCATGAAACGAAAGGTTCAAGTCCGTTTGTTGAGGACACACATCACAAATAAGTTTCTCAGAATGCTTCTGTCTTGTTTTCATTGGAAGATATTTCCTTTTTCACCATAGTTCAGAAAGCGCTCCAAATGTCCACTTCCAGATACTCCAAAAAGAGTGTTTCCAACCTGCTGTATGAAACGGAAGGTTCAACTCTGTGACTTGATTGCAAACATCACGAAGGTGTTTCTGAGAATGCTGCTGTGTACGTTTTATATTGCATCCCGTTTCCAACGAAATCCTCAAAGCGATCCAAATATCCACTTGCAGATTCCAAAAAAAGAGTGTTTCAAACTGCTCTGTCAGTACAAAGGTTCAACACTGTTAGTTGATTAGATGCATCATAAACAAGTTCCTGATATAGATTCTATGTCGTTTTTATGGGAAGATATTTCCTTTTTCACCATAGGCCTGAAAGCGCTCCAAATGTCCACTTCCAGATACTACAAAAAGAGTGTTTCCAACCTGCTCTATGAAACGGAAGGTTCAACTCTGTGACTTGATTGCAAACATCACGAAGGTGTTTCTGAGAATGCTTCTGTCTAGATTTTCTTTGAAGACATCCCCGTTTCCAACGAAATCCTCACAGCTATCCAAATATCCTCTTGCAGATTCTACAAAAAGTGTGGTTCAAAACTGCTGTATCAAAAGAATGGATCAACACTGTTAGTTGAGTACCCACATCACAAACGTGATTCTCAGAATGCTTCTGTCTAGTTTCTGTAGGTAGATATTTCCTATTTTAAACATAGGCCTGAAAGCGCTCCAAATGCCCGCTTCCAGACACTACAAAAAGAGGGTTTCAAACCTACTCTATGAAAGGGAATGTTCAACTCTGAGAGCTGGATGCAAACATCACAAAGAAGTTTCTGAGAATGCTGCTGTCTACTTTTTATATATAATCCCGTTTCCAACGAAATCCTCAAATCTATCCAAATATCCACTTGCAGATTCCAAAAGAAGAGGGTCTCAAAACTGCTCTATCAATAGAAATGTTCAGCACAGTTAGTTGAGTAGATACAGCATAAACATGTTTCTCAGATTACTTCTATCTCGCATTCATGGGAAGATATTTCCTTTTTCCAGATAGGCTACAAAGCCCTCCAAATGTCCACTTCCAGATACTACAAATAGAGTGCTGCACAACTGCTCTATGTGAGGGGAAGTTCAATTCTGTGACTTGAATGCAGACACCACAAAGAAGTTTCTGAGAATGCTGCTGTCTAATTTTTACATGTAAGCCCGTTTCCAACGAAATCCTCAAATCTATCCAAATATCCGCATGCAGAATCTTCAAAAAGAGTGTTCCAGAAGTACTGCATGAAACGAAAGGTTCAAGTCCGTTTGTTGAGGACACACATCACAAATAAGTTTCTCAGAATGCTTCTGTCTTGTTTTCATTGGAAGATATTTCCTTTTTCACCATAGTTCAGAAAGCGCTCCAAATGTCCACTTCCAGATACTCCAAAAAGAGTGTTTCAAACCTGCTCTATGAATGGGAATGTTCCACTCTGTGACTTGAATGGAAATATGGCAAAGTATTTTCTGAGTATGCTGCTGTGTACGTTTTATATTGCATCCCGTTTCCAACGAAATCCTCAAAGCGATCCAAATATCCACTTGCAGATTCCAAAAAAAGAGTGTTTCAAACTGCTCTGTCAGTACAAAGGTTCAACACTGTTAGTTGATTAGATGCCTCATAAACAAGTTCCTGAGATAGCTTCTATGTCGTTTTTATGGGAAGATATTTCCTTTTTCACCATAGGCCTGAAAGCGCTCCAAATGTCCACTTCCAGATACTACAAAAAGAGTGTTTCCAACCTGCTCTATGAAACGGAAGGTTCAACTCTGTGACTTGATTGCAAACATCACGAAGGTGTTTCTGAGAATGCTTCTGTCTAGATTTTCTTTGAAGACATTACCGTTTCCAACGAAATCCTCAAAGCTAGCCAAATATCCACCTGCAGATCCTACAAAAAGAGTGTTTCAAAAGTGCTCTGTCCAAACAAAGGTTCAATTCTGACAGTTGAGTGCACACATCACAAACGTGATTCTGCGAATGCTTCTGTCTAGTTTTTGTCGGAAGATATTTCCTTTCTCAGCATAGGCCCCAAGGAGCTCAAAATGTCCACTTCCAGATAGTACGAGAAGATTGTTTCAAACCTGCTCTGTGAAAGGGAATGTTCAACTCTGTGACTTGAATGTAAACATCCCTAAGATGTTTCTTAGAATGCTTCTGGCTAGATTTGATTTGAAGATATTCCCGTTTACAACGAAATCCTCAAAGCTTTCCAAATATCCACTTCCAGATTCTATAAAAAGAATGTTTCAGAACAGTTCTGTCAAAAGAAAGGTTCAACTCTGTTAGTGGAGAACACACATCACAATCAATGTTCTGAGAATGCTTCTGTCTAAATTTTCTATGAAGGCATTCCCGTTTCCAAGGAAATCCTCACAGCTATCCAAATATCCACTTGCAGATTCTACAAAAAGTGTGGTTGAAAACTGCTGTATCAAAAGAATGGATCAACACTGTTAGTTGAGTACCCACATCACAAACGTGATTCTCAGAATGCTTCTGTCTAGTTTCTATAGGTAGATATTTCCTTTTTCAGCATAGGTGTGAAAGCGCTCCAAATGCCCGCTTCCAGACACTATAAAAAGAGGGTTTCAAACCTACTCTATGAAAGGGAATGTTCAACTCTGAGAGCTGGATGCAAACATCACAAAGAAGTTTCTGAGAATGCTGCTGTCTAGTTTTGATATATAATCCCGTTGCCAGCGAAATCCTCAAATCTATCCAAATATCCACTTGCAGATTCCAAAAGAAGAGAGTCTCAAAACTGCTCTATCAATAGAGATGTTCAGCACATTTAGTTCAGTAGATACAGCATAAACATGTTTCTGAGATTACTTCTATCTCGCATTCATGGGAAGATATTTCCTTTTTCCAGATAGGCTACAAAGCCCTCCAAATGTCCACTTCCAGATACTACAAATAGAGTGCTGCACAACTGCTCTATGTGAGGGGAAGTTCAATTCTGTGACTTGAATGCAGACACCACAAAGAAGTTTCTGAGAATGCTGCTGTCTAATTTTTATATGTAAGCCCGTTTCCAACGAAATCCTCAAAGCTATCCAAATATCCGCATGCAGAATCTTCAAAAAGAGTGTTCCAGAAGTACTGCATGAAACGAAAGGTTCAAGTCCGTTAGTTGAGGACACACATCACAAATAAGTTTCTCAGAATGCTTCTGTCTTGTTTTCATTGGAAGATATTTCCTTTTTCACCATAGTTCAGAAAGCGCTCCAAATGTCCACTTCCAGATACTCCAAAAAGAGTGTTTCCAACCTGCTCTATGAATGGGAATGTTCCACTCTGTGACTTGAATGGAAATATGGCAAAGTATTTTCTGAGTATGCTGCTGTGTACGTTTTATATTGCATCCCGTTTCCAACGAAATCCTCAAAGCGATCCAAATATCCACTTGCAGATTCCAAAAAAAGAGTGTTTCAAACTGCTCTGTCAGTACAAAGGTTCAACACTGTTAGTTGATTAGATGCATCATAAACAAGTTCCTGAGATAGCTTCTATGTCGTTTTTATGGGAAGATATTTCCTTTTTCACCATAGGCCTGAAAGCACTCCAAATGTCCACTTCCAGATACTACAAAAAGAGTGTTTCCAACCTGCTCTATGAAACGGAAGTTTCATCTCTGTGACTTGATTGCAAACGTCACGAAGGTGTTTCTGAGAATGCTTCTGTCTAGATTTTCTTTGAAGACATTACCGTTTCCAACGAAATCCTCAAAGCTAGCCAAATATCCACCTGCAGATTCTACAAAAAGAGTGTTTCAAAAGTGCTCTCTCCAAACCAAGGTTCAATTCTGACAGTTGAGTGCACACATCACAAACGTGATTCTGCGAATGCTTCTGTCTAGTTTTTGTCGGAAGATATTTCCTTTTTCAGCATAGGCCCCAAGGAGCTCAAAATGTCCACTGCCAGATAGTACGAGAAGATTGTTTCAAACCTGCTCTGTGAAAGGGAATGTTCAACTCTGTGACTTGAATGTAAACATCCCTAAGATGTTTCTTAGAATGCTTCTGGCTAGATTTTATTTGAAGATATTCCCGTTTCCAACGAAATCCTCAAAGCTTTCCAAATATCCACTTCCAGATTCTATAAAAAGAATGTTTCAGAACAGTTCTGTCAAAAGAAAGGTTCAACTCTGTTAGTGGAGAACACACATCACAATCAAGGTTCTGAGAATGCTTCTGTCTAAATTTTCTATGAAGACATTCCCGTTTCCAACGAAATCCTCACAGCTATCCAAATATCCACTTGCAGATTCTACAAAAAGTGTGGTTCAAAACTGCTGTATCAAAAGAATGGATCAACACTGTTAGTTGAGTACCCACATCACAAACGTGATTCTCAGAATGCTTCTGTCTAGTTTCTATAGGTAGATATTTCCTTTTTCAGCATAGGCCTGAAAGCGCTCCAAATGCCCGCTTCCAGACACTATAAAAAGAGGGTTTCAAACCTACTCTATGAAAGGGAATGTTCAACTCTGAGAGCTGGATGCAAACATCACAAAGAAGTTTCTGAGAATGCTGCTGTCTACTTTTTATATATAATCCCGTTTCCAACGAAATCCTCAAATCTATCCAAATATCCACTTGCAGATTCCAAAAGAAGAGTGTCTCAAAACTGCTCTATCAATAGAAATGTTCAGCACAGTTAGTTGAGTAGATACAGCATAAACATGTTTCTGAGATTACTTCTATCTCGCATTCATGGGAAGATATTTCCTTTTTCCAGATAGGCTACAAAGCCCTCCAAATGTCCACTTCCAGATACTACAAATAGAGTGCTGCACAACTGCTCTATGTGAGGGGATGTTCAATTCTGTGACTTGAATGCAGACACCACAAAGAAGTTTCTGAGAATGCTGCTGTCTAATTTTTACATGTAAGCCCGTTTCCAACGAAATCCTCAAAGCTATCCAAATATCCGCATGCAGAATCTTCAAAAAGAGTGTTCCAGAAGTACTGCATGAAACGAAAGGTTCAAGTCCGTTTGTTGAGGACACACATCACAAATAAGTTTCTCAGAATGCTTCTGTCTTGTTTTCATTGGAAGATATTTCCTTTTTCACCATAGTTCAGAAAGCGCTCCAAATGTCCACTTCCAGATACTCCAAAAAGAGTGTTTCCAACCTGCTCTATGAATGGGAATGTTCCACTCTGTGACTTGAATGGAAATATGGCAAAGTATTTTCTGAGTATGCTGCTGTGTACGTTTTATATTGCATCCCGTTTCCAACGAAATCCTCAAAGCGATCCAAATATCCACTTGCAGATTCCAAAAAAAGAGTGTTTCAAACTGCTCTGTCAGTACAAAGGTTCAACACTGTTAGTTGATTAGATGCATCATAAACAAGTTCCTGAGATAGCTTCTATCTCGCATTCATGGGAAGATATTTCCTTTTTCCACATAGGCTACAAAGCCCTCCAAATGTCCACTTCCAGATACTACAGAAAGAGTGTTTCCAGCCTGCTCTATGAAACGGAAGGTTCAACTACTGTGACTTGATTGCAAACATGCACGAAGGTGTTTCTGAGAATGCTTCTGTCTAGATTTTCTTTGAAGACATTACCGTTTCCAACGAAATCCTCAAAGCTAGCCAAATATCCACCTGCAGATTCTACAAAAAGAGTGTTTCAAAAGTGCTCTGTCCAAACCAAGGTTCAATTCTGACAGTTGAGTGCACACATCACAAACGTGATTCTGCGAATGCTTCTGTCTAGTTTTTGTCGGAAGATATTTCCTTTTTCAGCATAGGCCCCAAGGAGCTCAAAATGTCCACTTCCAGATACTACGAGAAGATTGTTTCAAACCTGCTCTGTGAAAGGGAATGTTCAACTCTGTGACTTGAATGTAAACATCCCTAAGATGTTTCTTAGAATGCTTCTGGCTAGATTTTATTTGAAGATATTCCCGTTTCCAATGAAATCCTCAAAGCTTTCCAAATATCCACTTCCAGATTCTATAAAAAGAATGTTTCAGAACATTTCTGTCAAAAGAAAGGTTCAACTCTGTTAGTGGAGAACACACATCACAATCAAGGTTCTGAGAATGCTTCTGTCTAAATTTTCTATGAAGACATTCCCGTTTCCAACGAAATCCTCACAGCTATCCAAATATCCACTTGCAGATTCTACAAAAAGTGTGGTTCAAAACTGCTGTATCAAAAGAATGGATCAACACTGTTAGTTGAGTACCCACATCACAAACGTGATTCTCAGAATGCTTCTGTCTAGTTTCTATAGGTAGATATTTCCTTTTTCAGCATAGGCCTGAAAGCGCTCCAAATGCCCGCTTCCAGACACTATAAAAAGAGGGTTTCAAACCTACTCTATGAAAGGGAATGTTCAACTCTGAGAGCTGGATGCAAACATCACAAAGAAGTTTCTGAGAATGCTGCTGTCTACTTTTGATATATAATCCCGTTTCCAACGAAATCCTCAAATCTATCCAAATATCCACTTGCAGATTCCAAAAGAAGAGTGTCTCAAAACTGCTCTATCAATAGAAATGTTCAGCACAGTTAGTTGAGTAGATACAGCATAAACATGTTTCTGAGATTACTTCTATCTCGCATTCATGGGAAGATATTTCCTTTTTCCAGATAGGCTACAAAGCCCTCCAAATGTCCACTTCCAGATACTACAAATAGAGTGCTGCACAACTGCTCTATGTGAGGGGAAGTTCAATTCTGTGACTTGAATGCAGACACCACAAAGAAGTTTCTGAGAATGCTGCTGTCTAATTTTTATATGTAAGCCCGTTTCCAACGAAATCCTCAAAGCTATCCAAATATCCGCATGCAGAATCTTCAAAAAGAGTGTTCCAGAAGTACTGCATGAAACGAAAGGTTCAAGTCCGTTAGTTGAGGACACACATCACACATAAGTTTCTCAGAATGCTTCTGTCTTGTTTTCATTGGAAGATATTTCCTTTTTCACCATAGTTCAGAAAGCGCTCCAAATGTCCACTTCCAGATACTCCAAAAAGAGTGTTTCCAACCTGCTCTATGAATGGGAATGTTCCACTCTGTGACTTGAATGGAAATATGGCAAAGTATTTTCTGAGTATGCTGCTGTGTACGTTTTATATTGCATCCCGTTTCCAACGAAATCCTCAAAGCGATCCAAATATCCACTTGCAGATTCCAAAAAAAGAGTGTTTCAAACTGCTCTGTCAGTACAAAGGTTCAACACTGTTAGTTGATTAGATGCATCATAAACAAGTTCCTGATATAGATTCTATGTCGTTTTTATGGGAAGATATTTCCTTTTTCACCATAGGCCTGAAAGCGCTCCAAATGTCCACTTCCAGATACTACAATAAGAGTGTTTCCAACCTGCTCTATGAAACGGAAGGTTCAACTCTGTGACTTGATTGCAAACATCACGAAGGTGTTTCTGAGAATGCTTCTGTCTAGATTTTCTTTGAAGACATTACCGTTTCCAACGAAATCCTCAAAGCTAGCCAAATATCCACCTGCAGATTCTACAAAAAGAGTGTTTCAAAAGTGCTCTGTCCAAACCAAGGTTCAATTCTGACAATTGAGTGCACACATCACAAACGTGATTCTGCGAATGCTTCTGTCTAGTTTTTGTCGGAAGATATTTCCTTTTTCAGCATAGGCCCCAAGGAGCTCAAAATGTCCACTGCCAGATAGTACGAGAAGATTGTTTCAAACCTGCTCTGTGAAAGGGAATGTTCAACTCTGTGACTTGAATGTAAACATCCCTAAGATGTTTCTTAGAATGCTTCTGGCTAGATTTGATTTGAAGATATTCCCGTTTCCAACGAAATCCTCAAAGCTTTCCAAATATCCACTTCCAGATTCTATAAAAAGAATGTTTCAGAACAGTTCTGTCAAAAGAAAGGTTCAACTCTGTTAGTGGAGAACACACATCACAATCAAGGTTCTGAGAATGCTTCTGTCTAAATTTTCTATGAAGACATTCCCGTTTCCAACGAAATCCTCACAGCTATCCAAATATCCACTTGCAGATTCTACGAAAAGGGTGGTTCAAAACTGCTGTATCAAAAGAATGGATCAACACTGTTAGTTGAGTACCCACATCACAAACGTGATTCTCAGAATGCTTCTGTCTAGTTTCTGTAGGTAGATATTTCCTTTTTCAGCATAGGCCTGAAAGCGCTCCAAATGCCCGCTTCCAGACACTATAAAAAGGGGGTTTCAAACCTACTCTATGAAAGGGAATGTTCAACTCTGAGAGCTGGATGCAAACATCACAAAGAAGTTTCTGAGAATGCTGCTGTCTACTTTTTATATATAATCCCGTTTCCAACGAAATCCTCAAATCTCTCCAAATATCCACTTGCAGATTCCAAAAGAAGAGTGTCTCAAAACTGCTCTATCAATAGAAATGTTCAGCACAGTTAGTTGAGTAGATACAGCATAAACATGTTTCTGAGATTACTTCTATCTCGCATTCATGGGAAGATATTTCCTTTTTCCACATAGGCTACAAAGCCCTCCAAATGTCCACTTCCAGATACTACAAATAGAGTGCTGCACAACTGCTCTATGTGAGGGGATGTTCAATTCTGTGACTTGAATGCAGACACCACAAAGAAGTTTCTGAGAATGCTGCTGTCTAATTTTTACATGTAAGGCCGTTTCCAACGAAATCCTCAAAGCTATCCAAATATCCGCATGCAGAATCTTCAAAAAGAGTGTTCCAGAAGTACTGCATGAAACGAAAGGTTCAAGTCCGTTTGTTGAGGACACACATCACAAATAAGTTTCTCAGAATGCTTCTGTCTTGTTTTCATTGGAAGATATTTCCTTTTTCACCATAGTTCAGAAAGCGCTCCAAATGTCCACTTCCAGATACTCCAAAAAGAGTGTTTCCAACCTGCTCTATGAATGGGAATGTTCCACTCTGTGACTTGAATGGAAATATGGCAAAGTATTTTCTGAGTATGCTGCTGTGTACGTTTTATATTGCATCCCGTTTCCAACGAAATCCTCAAAGCGATCCAAATATCCACTTGCAGATTCCAAAAAAAGAGTGTTTCAAACTGCTCTGTCAGTACAAAGGTTCAACACTGTTAGTTGATTAGATGCATCATAAACAAGTTCCTGAGATAGCTTCTATATCGTTTTTCTGGGAAGATATTTCCTTTTTCACCATAGGCCTGAAAGCGCTCCAGATGTCCACTTCCAGATACTACAAAAAGAGTGTTTCCAACCTGCTCTATGAAACGGAAGGTTCAACTCTGTGACTTGATTGCAAACATCACGAAGGTGTTTCTGAGAATGCTTCTGTCTAGATTTTCTTTGAAGACATTCCCGTTTCCAACGAAATCCTCAAAGCTAGCCAAATATCCACCTGCAGATTCTACAAAAAGAGTGTTTCAAAAGTGCTCTGTCCAAACCAAGGTTCAATTCTGACAGTTGAGTGCACACATCACAAACGTGATTCTGCGAATGCTTCTGACTAGTTTTTGTCGGAAGATATTTCCTTTTTCAGCATAGGCCCCAAAGAGCTCAAAATGTCCACTGCCAGATAGTACGAGAAGATTGTTTCAAACCTGCTCTGTGAAAGGGAATGTTCAACTCTGTGACTTGAATGTAAACATCCCTAAGATGTTTCTTAGAATGCTTCTGGCTAGATTTGATTTGAAGATATTCCCGTTTCCAACGAAATCCTCAAAGCTTTCCAAATATCCACTTCCAGATTCTATAAAAAGAATGTTTCAGAACAGTTCTGTCAAAAGAAAGGTTCAACTCTGTTAGTGGAGAACACACATCACAATCAAGGTTCTGAGAATGCTTCTGTCTAGATTTTCTTTGAAGACATTCCCGTTTCCAACGAAATCCTCACAGCTATCCAAATATCCTCTTGCAGATTCTACAAAAAGTGTGGTTCAAAACTGCTGTATCAAAAGAATGGATCAACACTGTTAGTTGAGTACCCACATCACAAACGAGATTCTCAGAATGCTTTCTGTCTAGTTTCTGTAGGTAGATATTTCCTATTTTAAGCATAGGTCTGAAAGCGCTCCAAATGCCCGCTTCCAGACACTATAAAAAGAGGGTTTCAAACCTACTCTATGAAAGGGAATGTTCAACTCTGAGAGCTGGATGCAAACATCACAAAGAAGTTTCTGAGAATGCTGCTGTCTACTTTTTATATATAATCCCGTTTCCAACGAAATCCTCAAATCTATCCAAATATCCACTTGCAGATTCCAAAAGAAGAGTGTCTGAAAACTGCTCTATCAATAGAAATGTTCAGCACAGTTAGTTGAGTAGATACAGCATAAACATGTTTCTGAGATTACTTCTATCTCGCATTCATGGGAAGATATTTCCTTTTTCCAGATAGGCTACAAAGCCCTCCAAATGTCCACTTCGAGATACTACAAATAGAGTGCTGCACAACTGCTCTATGTGAGGGGATGTTCAATTCTGTGACTTGGATGCAGACACCACAGAGAAGTTTCTGAGAATGCTGCTGTCTAATTTTTACATGTAAGCCCGTTTCCAACGAAATCCTCAAAGCTATCCAAATATCCGCATGCAGAATCTTCAAAAAGAGTGTTCCAGAAGTACTGCATGAAACGAAAGGTTCAAGTCCGTTTGTTGAGGACACACATCACAAATAAGTTTCTCAGAATGCTTCTGTCTTGTTTTCATTGGAAGATATTTCCTTTTTCACCATAGTTCAGAAAGCGCTCCAAATGTCCACTTCCAGATACTCCAAAAAGAGTGTTTCCAACCTGCTCTATGAATGGGAATGTTCCACTCTGTGACTTGAATGGAAATATGGCAAAGTATTTTCTGAGTATGCTGCTGTGTACGTTTTATATTGCATCCCGTTTCCAACGAAATCCTCAAAGCGATCCAAATATCCACTTGCAGATTCCAAAAAAAGAGTGTTTCAAACTGCTCTGTCAGTACAAAGGTTCAACACTGTTAGTTGATTAGATGCATCATAAACAAGTTCCTGAGATAGCTTCTATGTCGTTTTTATGGGAAGATATTTCCTTTTTCACCATAGGCCTGAAAGCGCTCCAAATGTCCACTTCCAGATACTACAAAAAGAGTGTTTCCAACCTGCTCTATGAAACGGAAGGTTCAACTCTGTGACTTGATTGCAAACATCACGAAGGTGTTTCTGAGAATGCTTCTGTCTAGATTTTCTTTGAAGACATTACCGTTTCCAACGAAATCCTCAAAGCTAGCCAAATATCCACCTGCAGATTCTACAAAAAGAGTGTTTCAAAAGTGCTCTGTCCAAACCAAGGTTCAATTCTGACAGTTGAGTGCACACATCACAAACGTGATTCTGCGAATGCTTCTGACTAGTTTTTGTCGGAAGATATTTCCTTTTTCAGCATAGGCCCCAAAGAGCTCAAAATGTCCACTGCCAGATAGTACGAGAAGATTGTTTCAAACCTGCTCTGTGAAAGGGAATGTTCAACTCTGTGACTTGAATGTAAACATCCCTAAGATGTTTCTTAGAATGCTTCTGGCTAGATTTGATTTGAAGATATTCCCGTTTCCAACGAAATCCTCAAAGCTTTCCAAATATCCACTTCCAGATTCTATAAAAAGAATGTTTCAGAACAGTTCTGTCAAAAGAAAGGTTCAACTCTGTTAGTGGAGAACACACATCACAATCAAGGTTCTGAGAATGCTTCTGTCTAAATTTTCTATGAAGACATTCCCGTTTCCAACGAAATCCTCACAGCTATCCAAATATCCACTTGCAGATTCTACAAAAAGTGTGGTTCAAAACTGCTGTATCAAAAGAATGGATCAACACTGTTAGTTGAGTACCCACATCACAAACGTGATTCTCAGAATGCTTCTGTCTAGTTTCTATAGGTAGATATTTCCGTTTTCAGCATAGGCCTGAAAGCGCTCCAAATGCCCGCTTCCAGACACTATAAAAAGAGGGTTTCAAACCTACTCTATGAAAGGGAATGTTCAACTCTGGGAGCTGGATGCAAACATCACAAAGAAGTTTCTGAGAATGCTGCTGTCTACTTTTTATATATAATCCCGTTTCCAACGAAATCCTCAAATCTATCCAAATATCCACTTGCAGATTCCAAAAGAAGAGTGTCTCAAAACTGCTCTATCAATAGAAATGTTCAGCACAGTTAGTTGAGTAGATACAGCATAAACATGTTTCTCAGATTACTTCTATCTCGCATTCATGGGAAGATATTTCCTTTTTCCAGATAGGCTACAAAGCCCTCCAAATGTCCACTTCCAGATACTACAAATAGAGTGCTGCACAACTGCTCTATGTGAGGGGAAGTTCAATTCTGTGACTTGAATGCAGACACCACAAAGAAGTTTCTGAGAATGCTGCTGTCTAATTTTTACATGTAAGCCCGTTTCCAACGAAATCCTCAAAGCTATCCAAATATCCGCATGCAGAATCTTCAAAAAGAGTGTTCCAGAAGTACTGCATGAAACGAAAGGTTCAAGTCCGTTTGTTGAGGACACACATCACAAATAAGTTTCTCAGAATGCTTCTGTCTTGTTTTCATTGGAAGATATTTCCTTTTTCACCATAGTTCAGAAAGCGCTCCAAATGTCCACTTCCAGATACTCCAAAAAGAGTGTTTCCAACCTGCTCTATGAATGGGAATGTTCCACTCTGTGACTTGAATGGAAATATGGCAAAGTATTTTCTGAGTATGCTGCTGAGTACGTTTTATATTGCATCCCGTTTCCAACGAAATCCTCAAAGCGATCCAAATATCCACTTGCAGATTCCAAAAAAAGAGTGTTTCAAACTGCTCTGTCAGTACAAAGGTTCAACACTGTTAGTTGATTAGATGCATCATAAACAAGTTCCTGAGATAGCTTCTATCTCGCATTCATGGGAAGATATTTCCTTTTTCCAGATAGGCTACAAAGCCCTCCAAATGTCCACTTCCAGATACTACAAAAAGTGTGTTTCCAACCTGCTCTATGAAACGGAAGGTTCAACTCTGTGACTTGATTTCAAACATCACGAAGGTGTTTCTGAGAATGCTTCTGTCTAGATTTTCTTTGAAGACATTACCGTTTCCAACGAAATCCTCAAAGCTAGCCAAATATCCACCTGCAGATTCTACAAAAAGAGTGTTTCAAAAGTGCTCTGTCCAAACCAAGGTTCAATTCTGACAGTTGAGTGCACACATCACAAACGTGATTCTGCGAATGCTTCTGTCTAGTTTTTGTCGGAAGATATTTCCTTTTTCAGCATAGGCCCCAAGGAGCTCAAAATGTCCACTGCCAGATAGTACGAGAAGATTGTTTCAAACCTGCTCTGTGAAAGGGAATGTTCAACTCTGTGACTTGAATGTAAACATCCCTAAGATGTTTCTTAGAATGCTTCTGGCTAGATTTTATTTGAAGATATTCCCGTTTCCAACGAAATCCTCAAAGCTTTCCAAATATCCACTTCCAGATTCTATAAAAAGAATGTTTCAGAACAGTTCTGTCAAAAGAAAGGTTCAACTCTGTTAGTGGAGAACACACATCACAATCAAGGTTCTGAGAATGCTTCTGTCTAAATTTTCTATGAAGACATTCCCGTTTCCAACGAAATCCTCACAGCTATCCAAATATCCACTTGCAGATTCTACAAAAAGTGTGGTTCAAAACTGCTGTATCAAAAGAATGGATCAACACTGTTAGTTGAGTACCCACATCACAAACGTGATTCTCAGAATGCTTCTGTCTAGTTTCTATAGGTAGATATTTCCTTTTTCAGCATAGGCCTGAAAGCGCTCCAAATGCCCGCTTCCAGACACTATAAAAAGAGGGTTTCAAACCTACTCTATGAAAGGGAATGTTCAACTCTGAGAGCTGGATGCAAACATCACAAAGAAGTTTCTGAGAATGCTGCTGTCTACTTTTTATATGTAATCCCGTTTCCAACGAAATCCTCAAATCTATCCAAATATCCACTTGCAGATTCCAAAAGAAGAGTGTCTCAAAACTGCTCTATCAATAGAAATGTTCAGCACAGTTAGTTGAGTAGATACAGCATAAACATGTTTCTGAGATTACTTCTATCTCGCATTCATGGGAAGATATTTCCTTTTTCCACATAGGCTACAAAGCCCTCCAAATGTCCACTTCCAGATACTACAAATAGAGTGCTGCACAACTGCTCTATGTGAGGGGATGTTCAATTCTGTGACTTGAATGCAGACACCACAAAGAAGTTTCTGAGAATGCTGCTGTCTAATTTTTACATGTAAGCCCGTTTCCAACGAAATCCTCAAAGCTATCCAAATATCCGCATGCAGAATCTTCAAAAAGAGTGTTCCAGAAGTACTGCATGAAACGAAAGGTTCAAGTCCGTTTGTTGAGGACACACATCACAAAGAAGTTTACTCAGAATGCTTCTGTCTTGTTTTCATTGGAAGATATTTCCTTTTTCACCATAGTTCAGAAAGCGCTCCAAATGTCCACTTCCAGATACTCCAAAAAGAGTGTTTCCAACCTGCTCTATGAATGGGAAAGTTCCACTCTGTGACTTGAATGGAAATATGGCAAAGTATTTTCTGAGGATTCTGCTGTGTACGTTTTATATTGCATCCCGTTTCCAACGAAATCCTCAAAGCGATCCAAATATCCACTTGCAGATTCCAAAAAAAGAGTGTTTCAAACTGCTCTGTCAGTACAAAGGTTCAACACTGTTAGTTGATTAGATGCATCATAAACAAGTTCCTGAGATAGCTTCTATGTCGTTTTTATGGTAAGATATTTCCTTCTTCACCATAGGCCTGAAAGCGCTCCAAATGTCCACTTCCAGATACTACAAAAAGAGTGTTTCCAACCTGCTCTACGAAACGGAAGGTTCAACTCTGTGACTTGATTGCAAACATCACGAAGGTGTTTCTGAGAATGTTTCTGTCTAGATTTTCTTTGAAGACATTACCGTTTCCAACGAAATCCTCAAAGCTAGCCAAATATCCACCTGCAGATTCTACAAAAAGATTGTTTCAAAAGTGCTCTGTCCAAACCAAGGTTCAATTCTGACAGTTGAGTGCACACATCACAAACGTGATTCTGCGAATGCTTCTGTCTAGTTTTTGTCGGAAGATATTTCCTTTTTCAGCATAGGCCCAAAGGAGCTCAAAATGTCCACTGCCAGATAGTACGAGAAGATTGTTTCAAACCTGCTCTGTGAAAGGGAATGTTCAACTCTGTGACTTGAATGTAAACATCCCTAAGATGTTTCTTAGAATGCTTCTGGCTAGATTTTATTTGAAGATATTCCCGTTTCCAATGAAATCCTCAAAGCTTTCCAAATATCCACTTCCAGATTCTATAAAAAGAATGTTTCACAACAGTTCTGTCTAAAGAAAGGTTCAACTCTGTTAGTGGAGAACACACATCACAATCAAGGTTCTGAGAATGCTTCTGTCTAAATTTTCTATGAAGACATTCCCGTTTCCAACGAAATCCTCACAGCTATCCAAATATCCACTTGCAGATTCTACAAAAAGTGTGGTTCAAAACTGCTGTATCAAAAGAATGGATCAACACTGTTAGTTGAGTACCCACATCACAAACGTGATTCTCAGAATGCTTCTGTCTAGTTTCTGTAGGTAGATATTTCCTATTTTAAGCATAGGCCTGAAAGCGCTCCAAATGCCCGCTTCCAGACACTATAAAAAGAGGGTTTCAAACCTACTCTATGAAAGGGAATGTTCAACTCTGAGAGCTGGATGCAAACATCACAAAGAAGTTTCTGAGAATGCTGCTGTCTACTTTTTATATATAATCCCGTTTCCAACGAAATCCTCAAATCTCTCCAAATATCCACTTGCAGATTCCAAAAGAAGAGTGTCTCAAAACTGCTCTATCAATAGAAATGTTCAGCACAGTTAGTTGAGTAGATACAGCATAAACATGTTTCTGAGATTACTTCTATCTCGCATTCATGGGAAGATATTTCCTTTTTCCAGATAGGCTACAAAGCCCTCCAAATGTCCACTTCGAGATACTACAAATAGAGTGCTGCACAACTGCTCTATGTGAGGGGATGTTCAATTCTGTGACTTGGATGCAGACACCACAGAGAAGTTTCTGAGAATGCTGCTGTCTAATTTTTATATGTAAGCCCGTTTCCAACGAAATCCTCAAAGCTATCCAAATATCCGCATGCAGAATCTTCAAAAAGAGTGTTCCAGAAGTACTGCATGAAACGAAAGGTTCAAGTCCGTTAGTTGAGGACACACATCACAAATAAGTTTCTCAGAATGCTTCTGTCTTGTTTTCATTGGAAGATATTTCCTTTTTCACCATAGTTCAGAAAGCGCTCCAAATGTCCACTTCCAGATACTCCAAAAAGAGTGTTTCCAACCTGCTCTATGAATGGGAATGTTCCACTCTGTGACTTGAATGGAAATATGGCAAAGTATTTTCTGAGTATGCTGCTGTGTACGTTTTATATTGCATCCCGTTTCCAACGAAATCCTCAAAGCGATCCAAATATCCACTTGCAGATTCCAAAAAAAGAGTGTTTCAAACTGCTCTGTCAGTACAAAGGTTCAACACTGTTAGTTGATTAGATGCATCATAAACAAGTTCCTGAGATACCTTCTATGTCGTTTTTATGGGAAGATATTTCCTTTTTCACCATAGGCCTGAAAGCGCTCCAAATGTCCACTTCCAGATACTACAATAAGAGTGTTTCCAACCTGCTCTATGAAACGGAAGGTTCAACTCTGTGACTTGATTGCAAACATCACGAAGGTGTTTCTGAGAATGCTTCTGTCTAGATTTTCTTTGAAGACATTCCCGTTTCCAACGAAATCCTCACAGCTATCCAAATATCCTCTTGCAGATTCTACAAAAAGTGTGGTTCAAAACTGCTGTATCAAAAGAATGGATCAACACTGTTAGTTGAGTACCCACATCACAAACGTGATTCTCAGAATGCTTCTGTCTAGTTTCTGTAGGTAGATATTTCCTATTTTAAGCATAGGCCTGAAAGCGCTCCAAATGCCCGCTTCCAGACACTATAAAAAGAGGGTTTCAAACCTACTCTATGAAAGGGAATGTTCAACTCTGAGAGCTGGATGCAAACATCACAAAGAAGTGTCTGAGAATGCTGCTGTCTACTTTTTATATATAATCCCGTTTCCAACGAAATCCTCAAATCTATCCAAATATCCACTTGCAGATTCCAAAAGAAGAGTGTCTGAAAACTGCTCTATCAATAGAAATGTTCAGCACAGTTAGTTGAGTAGATACAGCATAAACATGTTTCTGAGATTACTTCTATCTCGCATTCATGGGAAGATATTTCCTTTTTCCAGGATAGGCTACAAAGCCCTCCAAATGTCCACTTCGAGATACTACAAATAGAGTGCTGCACAACTGCTCTATGTGAGGGGAAGTTCAATTCTGTGACTTGAATGCAGACACCACAAAGAAGTTTCTGAGAATGCTGCTGTCTAATTTTTATATGTAAGCCCGTTTCCAACGAAATCCTCAAAGCTATCCAAATATCCGCATGCAGAATCTTCAAAAAGAGTGTTCCAGAAGTACTGCATGAAACGAAAGGTTCAAGTCCGTTAGTTGAGGACACACATCACAAATAAGTTTCTCAGAATGCTTCTGTCTTGTTTTCATTGGAAGATATTTCCTTTTTCACCATAGTTCAGAAAGCGCTCCAAATGTCCACTTCCAGATACTACAAAAAGAGTGTTTCAAACCTGCTCTATGAATGGGAATGTTCCACTCTGTGACTTGAATGGAAATATGGCAAAGTATTTTCTGAGTATGCTGCTGTGTACGTTTTATATTGCATCCCGTTTCCAACGAAATCCTCAAAGTGATCCAAATATCCACTTGCAGATTCCAAAAAAAGAGTGTTTCAAACTGCTCTGTCAGTACAAATGTTCAACACTGTTAGTTGATTAGATGCATCATAAACAAGTTCCTGAGATAGCTTCTATGTCGTTTTTATGGGAAGATATTTCTTTTTCACCATAGGCCTGAAAGCGCTCCAAATGTCCACTTCCAGATACTACAATAAGAGTGTTTCCAACCTGCTCTATGAAACGGAAGGTTCAACTCTGTGACTTGATTGCAAACATCACGAAGGTGTTTCTGAGAATGCTTCTGTCTAGATTTTCTTTGAAGACATTCCCGTTTCCAACGAAATCCTCACAGCTATCCAAATATCCTCTTGCAGATTCTACAAAAAGTGTGGTTCAAAACTGCTGTATCAAAAGAATGGATCAACACTGTTAGTTGAGTACCCACATCACAAACGTGATTCTCAGAATGCTTCTGTCTAGTTTCTGTAGGTAGATATTTCCTATTTTAAGCATAGGCCTGAAAGCGCTCCAAATGCCCGCTTCCAGACACTATAAAAAGAGGGTTTCAAACCTACTCTATGAAAGGGAATGTTCAACTCTGAGAGCTGGATGCAAACATCACAAAGAAGTTTCTGAGAATGCTGCTGTCTACTTTTTATATATAATCCCGTTTCCAACGAAATCCTCAAATCTATCCAAATATCCACTTGCAGATTCCAAAAGAAGAGTGTCTGAAAACTGCTCTATCAATAGAAATGTTCAGCACAGTTAGTTGAGTAGATACAGCATAAACATGTTTCTGAGATTACTCTATCTCGCATTCATGGGAAGATATTTCCTTTTTCCAGATAGGCTACAAAGCCCTCCAAATGTCCACTTCCAGATACTACAAATAGAGTGCTGCACAACTGCTCTATGTGAGGGGATGTTCAATTCTGTGACTTGAATGCAGACACCACAAAGAAGTTTCTGAGAATGCTGGCTGTCTAATTTTTACATGTAAGCCCGTTTCCAACGAAATCCTCAAAGCTATCCAAATATCCGCATGCAGAATCTTCAAAAAGAGTGTTCCAGAAGTACTGCATGAAACGAAAGGTTCAAGTCCGTTTGTTGAGGACACACATCACAAATAAGTTTCTCAGAATGCTTCTGTCTTGTTTTCATTGGAAGATATTTCCTTTTTCACCATAGTTCAGAAAGCGCTCCAAATGTCCACTTCCAGATACTCCAAAAAGAGTGTTTCAAACCTGCTCTATGAATGGGAATGTTCCACTCTGTGACTTGAATGGAAATATGGCAAAGTATTTTCTGAGTATGCTGCTGTGTACGTTTTATATTGCATCCCGTTTCCAACGAAATCCTCAAAGCGATCCAAATATCCACTTGCAGATTCCAAAAAAAAGAGTGTTTCACACTGCTCTGTCAGTACAAAGGTTCAACACTGTTAGTTGATTGGATGCATCATAAACAAGTTCCTGAGATAGCTTCTATGTCGTTTTTATGGGAAGATATTTCCTTTTTCACCATAGGCCTGAAAGCGCTCCAAATGTCCACTTCCAGATACTACAATAAGAGTGTTTCCAACCTGCTCTATGAAACGGAAGGTTCAACTCTGTGACTTGATTGCAAACATCACGAAGGTGTTTCTGAGAATGCTTCTGTCTAGATTTTTTTTGAAGACATTACCGTTTCCAACGAAATCCTCAAAGCTAGCCAAATATCCACCTGCAGATTCTACAAAAAGAGTGTTTCAAAAGTGCTCTGTCCAAACAAAGATTCAATTCTGACAGTGTGAGTGCACACATCACAAACGTGATTCTGCGAATGCTTCTGTCTAGTTTTTGTCGGAAGATATTTCCTTTTTCAGCATAGGCCCAAAGGAGCTCAAAATGTCCACTGCCAGACAGTACGAGAAGATTGTTTCAAACCTGCTCTGTGAAAGGGAATGTTCAACTCTGTGACTTGAATGTAAACATCCCTAAGATGTTTCTTAGAATGCTTCTGGCTAGATTTTATTTGAAGATATTCCCGTTTCCAACGAAATCCTCAAAGCTTTCCAAATATCCACTTCCAGATTCTATAAAAAGAATGTTTCAGAACAGTTCTGTCAAAAGAAAGGTTCAACTCTGTTAGTGGAGAACACACATCACAATCAAGGTTCTGAGAATGCTTCTGTCTAAATTTTCTATGAAGACATTCCCGTTTCCAACGAAATCCTCACAGCTATCCAAATATCCACTTGCAGATTCTACAAAAAGTGTGGTTCAAAACTGCTGTATCAAAAGAATGGATCAACACTGTTAGTTGAGTACCCACATCACAAACGTGATTCTCAGAATGCTTCTGTCTAGTTTCTGTAGGTAGATATTTCCTTTTTCAGCATAGGCCTGAAAGCGCTCCAAATGCCCGCTTCCAGACACTATAAAAAGAGGGTTTCAAACCTACTCTATGAAAGGGAATGTTCAACTCTGAGAGCTGGATGCAAACATCACAAAGAAGTTTCTGAGAATGCTGCTGTCTACCTTTGATATATAATCCCGTTTCCAACGAAATCCTCAAATCTAGCCAAATATCCACTTGCAGATTCCAAAAGAAGAGTGTCTCAAAACTGCTCTATCAATAGAAATGTTCAGCACAGTTAGTTGAGTAGATACAGCATAAACATGTTTCTGAGATTACTTCTATCTCGCATTCATGGAAAGATATTTCCTTTTTCCAGATAGGCTACAAAGCCCTCCAAATGTCCACTTCGAGATACTACAAATAGAGTGCTTCACAACTGCTCTATGTGAGGGGATGTTCAATTCTGTGACTTGAATGCAGACACCACAAAGAAGTTTCTGAGAATGCTGCTGTCTAATTTTTACATGTAAGCCCGTTTCCAACGAAATCCTCAAAGCTATCCAAATATCCGCATGCAGAATCTTCAAAAAGAGTGTTCCAGAAGTACTGCATGAAACGAAAGGTTCAAGTCCGTTTGTTGAGGACACACATCACAAATAAGTTTCTCAGAATGCTTCTGTCTTGTTTTCATTGGAAGATATTTCCTTTTTCACCATAGTTCAGAAAGCGCTCCAAATGTCCACTTCCAGATACTCCAAAAAGAGTGTTTCAAACCTGCTCTATGAATGGGAATGTTCCACTCTGTGACTTGAATGGAAATATGGCAAAGAATTTTCTGAGTATGCTGCTGTGTACGTTTTATATTGCATCCCGTTTCCAACGAAATCCTCAAAGCGATCCAAATATCCACTTGCAGATTCCAAAAAAAGAGTGTTTCAAACTGCTCTGTCAGTACAAAGGTTCAACACTGTTAGTTGATTAGATGCATCATAAACAAGTTCCTGATATAGATTCTATGTCGTTTTTATGGGAAGATATTTCCTTTTTCACCATAGGCCTGAAAG
This sequence comes from Homo sapiens, assembly GCF_000001405.40. Classification (NCBI taxonomy): domain Eukaryota; kingdom Metazoa; phylum Chordata; class Mammalia; order Primates; family Hominidae; genus Homo; species Homo sapiens. Next base: position 45,722,709 of record NC_000008.11, on the reverse strand, counting down.
CGCTCCAAATGTCCACTTCCAGATACTACAAAAAGAGTGTTTCCAACCTGCTCTATGAAACGGAAGGTTCAACTCTGTGACTTGATTGCAAACATCATGAAGGTGTTTCTGAGAATGCTTCTGTCTAGATTTTCTTTGAAGACATTCCCGTTTCCAACGAAATCCTCACAGCTATCCAAATATCCTCTTGCAGATTCTACAAAAAGTGTGGTTCAAAACTGCTGTATCAAAAGAATGGATCAACACTGTTAGTTGAGTACCCACATCACAAACGTGATTCTCAGAATGCTTCTGTCTAGTTTCTATAGGTAGATATTTCCTATTTTAAGCATAGGCCTGAAAGCGCTCAAAATGCCCGCTTCCAGACACTATAAAAAGAGGGTTTCAAACCTACTCTATGAAAGGGAGTGTTCAACTCTGAGAGCTATATGCAAACATCACAAAGAAGTTTCTGAGAATGCTGCTGTCTGCTTTTGATATATAATCCCGTTTCCAACGAAATCCTCAAATCTATCCAAATATCCACTTGCAGATTCCAAAAGAAGAGTGTCTCAAAACTGCTCTATCAATAGAAATGTTCAGCACAGTTAGTTGAGTAGATACAGCATAAACATGTTTCTGAGATTACTTCTATCTCGCATTCATGGGAAGATATTTCCTTTTTCCAGATAGGCTACAAAGCCCTCCAAATGTCCACTTCCAGATACTACAAATAGAGTGCTGCACAACTGCTCTATGTGAGGGGAAGTTCAATTCTGTGACTTGAATGCAGACACCACAAAGAAGTTTCTGAAAATGCTGCTGTCTAATTTTTATATGTAAGCCCGTTTCCCACGAAATCCTCAAAGGTATCCAAATATCCGCATGCAGAATCTTCAAAAAGAGTGTTCCAGAAGTACTGCATGAAACGAAAGGTTTGAGTACGTTAGTTGAGGACACGCATCACAAATAAGTTTCTCAGAATGCTTCTGTCTTGTTTTCATTGGAAGATATTTCCTTTTTCACCATAGTTCAGAAAGCGCTCCAAATGTCCACTTCCAGATACTCCAAAAAGAGTGTTTCAAACCTGCTCTATGAATGGGAATGTTCCACTCTGTGACTTGAATGGAAATATGGCAAAGTATTTTCTGAGTATGCTGCTGTGTACGTTTGATATTGCATCCCGTTTCCAACGAAATCCTCAAAGCGATCCAAATATCCACTTGCAGATTCCAAAAAAAGAGTGTTTCAAACTGCTCTGTCAGTACAAAGGTTCAACACTGTTAGTTGATTAGATGCATCATAAACAAGTTCCTGAGATAGCTTCTATGTCGCTTTTATGGGAAGATATTTCCTTTTACACCATAGGCCTGAAAGCGCTCCAAATGTCCACTTCCAGATACTACAAAATGAGTGTTTCAAACCTGCTCCATGAAACGGAAGGTTCAACTCTGTGACTTGATTGCAAACATCACGAAGGTGTTTCAGAGGATGTTTCTGTCTAGATTTTCTTTGAAGACATTACCGTTTCCAACGAAATCCTCAAAGCTAGCCAAATATCCACCTGCAGATTCTACAAAAAGAGTGTTTCAAAAGTGCTCTGTCCAAACCAAGGTTCAATTCTGACAGTTGAGTGCACACATCACAAACGTGATTCTGCGAATGCTTCTGTCTAGTTTTTGTCGGAAGGTATTTCCTTTTTCAGCATACGCCAAAAGGAGCTCAAAATGTCCACTTCCAGATAGTACGAGAAGATTGTTTCAAACCTGCTCTGTGAAAGGGAATGTTCAACTCTGTGACTTGAATGTAAACATCCCTAAGATGTTTCTTAGAATGCTTCTGGCTAGATTTGATTTGAAGATATTCCCGTTTCCAACGAAATCCTCAAAGCTTTCCAAATATCCACTTCCAGATTCTATAAAAAGAATGTTTCAAAACAGTTCTGTCAAAAGAAAGGTTCAACCCTGTTAGTGGAGAACACACATCACAATCAAGGTTCTGAGAATGCTTCTGTCTAAATTTTCTATGAAGACATTCCCGTTTCCAACGAAATCCTCACAGCTATCCAAATATCCACTTGCAGATTCTACAAAAAGTGTGGTTCAAAACTGCTGTATCAAAAGAATGGATCAACACTGTTAGTTGAGTACCCACATCACAAACGTGATTCTCAGAATGCTTCTGTCTAGTTTCTATAGGTAGATATTTCCTTTTTCAGCATAGGCCTGAAAGCGCTCCAAATGCCCGCTTCCAGACACTATAAAAAGAGGGTTTCAAACCTACTCTATGAAAGGGAATGTTCAACTCTGAGAGCTGGATGCAAACATCACAAAGAAGTTTCTGAGAATGCTGCTGTCTACTTTTTATATATAATCCCGTTTCCAACGAAATCCTCAAATCTATCCAAATATCCACTTGCAGATTCCAAAAGAAGAGTGTCTCAAAACTGCTCTATCAATAGAAATGTTCAGCACAGTTAGTTGAGTAGATACAGCATAAACATGTTTCTGAGATTACTTCTATCTCGCATTCATGGGAAGATATTTCCTTTTTCCAGATAGGCTACAAAGCCCTCCAAATGTCCACTTCCAGATACTACAAATAGAGTGCTGCACAACTGCTCTATGTGAGGGGATGTTCAATTGCTGTGACTTGAATGCAGACACCACAAAGAAGTTTCTGAGAATGCTGCTGTCTAATTTTTACATGTAAGCCCGTTTCCAACGAAATCCTCAAAGCTATCCAAATATCCGCATGCAGAATCTTCAAAAAGAGTGTTCCAGAAGTACTGCATGAAACGAAAGGTTCAAGTCCGTTTGTTGAGGACACACATCACAAATAAGTTTCTCAGAATGCTTCTGTCTTGTTTTCATTGGAAGATATTTCCTTTTTCACCATAGTTCAGAAAGCGCTCCAAATGTCCACTTCCAGATACTCCAAAAAGAGTGTTTCCAACCTGCTCTATGAATGGGAATGTTCCACTCTGTGACTTGAATGGAAATATGGCAAAGTATTTTCTGAGTATGCTGCTGTGTACGTTTTATATTGCATCCCGTTTCCAACGAAATCCTCAAAGCGATCCAAATATCCACTTGCAGATTCCAAAAAAAGAGTGTTTCAAACTGCTCTGTCAGTACAAAGGTTCAACACTGTTAGTTGATTAGATGCATCATAAACAAGTTCCTGAGATAGCTTCTATGTCGTTTTTATGGGAAGATATTTCCTTCTTCACCATAGGCCTGAAAGCGCTCCAAATGTCCACTTCCAGATACTACAAAAAGAGTGTTTCCAACCTGCTCTATGAAACGGAAGGTTCAACTCTGTGACTTGATTGCAAACATCACGAAGGTGTTTCTGAGAATGTTTCTGTCTAGATTTTCTTTGAAGACATTACCATTTCCAACGAAATCCTCAAAGCTAGTCAAATATCCACCTGCAGATTCTACAAAAAGAGTGTTTCAAAAGTGCTCTGTCCAAACAAAGGTTCAATTCTGACAGTTGAGTGCACACATCACAAACGTGATTCTGCGAATGCTTCTGTCTAGTTTTTGTCGGAAGATATTTCCTTTCTCAGCATAGGCCCCAAGGAGCTCAAAATGTCCACTTCCAGATAGTACGAGAAGATTGTTTCAAACCTGCTCTGTGAAAGGGAATGTTCAACTCTGTGACTTGAATGTAAACATCCCTAAGATGTTTCTTAGAATGCTTTCTGGCTAGATTTTATTTGAAGATATTCCCGTTTCCAACGAAATCCTCAAAGCTTTCCAAATATCCACTTCCAGATTCTATAAAAAGAATGTTTCAGAACAGTTCTGTCAAAAGAAAGGTTCAACTCTGTTAGTGGAGAACACACATCACAATCAAGGTTCTGAGAATGCTTCTGTCTAAATTTTCTATGAAGACATTCCCGTTTCCAACGAAATCCTCACAGCTATCCAAATATCCACTTGCAGATTCTACGAAAAGGGTGGTTCAAAACTGCTGTATCAAAAGAATGGATCAACACTGTTAGTTGAGTACCCACATCACAAACGTGATTCTCAGAATGCTTCTGTCTAGTTTCTGTAGGTAGATATTTCCTTTTTCAGCATAGGCCTGAAAGCGCTCCAAATGCCCGCTTCCAGACACTATAAAAAGGGGGTTTCAAACCTACTCTATGAAAGGGAATGTTCAACTCTGAGAGCTGGATGCAAACATCACAAAGAAGTTTCTGAGAATGCTGCTGTCTACTTTTGATATATAATCCCGTTTCCAACGAAATCCTCAAATCTATCCAAATATCCACTTGCAGATTCCAAAAGAAGAGTGTCTCAAAACTGCTCTATCAATAGAAATGTTCAGCACAGTTAGTTGAGTAGATACAGCATAAACATGTTTCTGAGATTACTTCTATCTCGCATTCATGGGAAGATATTTCCTTTTTCCAGATAGGCTACAAAGCCCTCCAAATGTCCACTTCCAGATACTACAAATAGAGTGCTGCACAACTGCTCTATGTGAGGGGAAGTTCAATTCTGTGACTTGAATGCAGACACCACAAAGAAGTTTCTGAGAATGCTGCTGTCTAATTTTTACATGTAAGCCCGTTTCCAACGAAATCCTCAAAGCTATCCAAATATCCGCATGCAGAATCTTCAAAAAGAGTGTTCCAGAAGTACTGCATGAAACGAAAGGTTCAAGTCCGTTTGTTGAGGACACACATCACAAATAAGTTTCTCAGAATGCTTCTGTCTTGTTTTCATTGGAAGATATTTCCTTTTTCACCATAGTTCAGAAAGCGCTCCAAATGTCCACTTCCAGATACTCCAAAAAGAGTGTTTCCAAACTGCTCTATGAATGGGAATGTTCCACTCTGTGACTTGAATGGAAATATGGCAAAGTATTTTCTGAGTATGCTGCTGTTTACGTTTTATATTGCATCCCGTTTCCAACAAAATCCTCAAAGCGATCCAAATATCCACTTGCAGATTCCAAAAAAAGAGTGTTTCAAACTGCTCTGTCAGTACAAAGGTTCAACACTGTTAGTTGATTAGATGCATCATAAACAAGTTCCTGAGACAGCTTCTATGTCGTTTTTATGGGAAGATATTTCCTTTTTCACCATAGGCCTGAAAGCGCTCCAAATGTCCACTTCCAGATACTACAATAAGAGTGTTTCCAACCTGCTCTATGAAACGGAAGGTTCAACTCTGTGACTTGATTGCAAACATCACGAAGGTGTTTCTGAGAATGCTTCTGTCTAGATTTTCTTTGAAGACATTACCGTTTCCAACGAAATCCTCAAAGCTAGCCAAATATCCACCTGCAGATTCTACAAAAAGAGTGTTTCAAAAGTGCTCTGTCCAAACCAAGGTTCAATTCTGACAGTTGAGTGCACACATCACAAACGTGATTCTGCGAATGCTTCTGTCTAGTTTTTGTCGGAAGATATTTCCTTTTTCAGCATAGGCCCCAAGGAGCTCAAAATGTCCACTTCCAGATAGTACGAGAAGATTGTTTCAAACCTGCTCTGTGAAAGGGAATGTTCAACTCTGTGACTTGAATGTAAACATCCCTAAGATGTTTCTTAGAATGCTTCTGGCTAGATTTTATTTGAAGATATTCCCGTTTCCAACGAAATCCTCAAAGCTTTCCAAATATCCACTTCCAGATTCTATAAAAAGAATGTTTCAGAACAGTTCTGTCAAAAGAAAGGTTCAACTCTGTTAGTGGAGAACACACATCACAATCAAGGTTCTGAGAATGCTTCTGTCTAAATTTTCTATGAAGACATTCCCGTTTCCAAGGAAATCCTCACAGCTATCCAAATATCCACTTGCAGATTCTACAAAAAGTGTGGTTCAAAACTGCTGTATCAAAAGAATGGATCAACACTGTTAGTTGAGTACCCACATCACAAACGTGATTCTCAGAATGCTTCTGTCTAGTTTCTATAGGTAGATATTTCCTTTTTCAGCATAGGCCTGAAAGCGCTCCAAATGCCCGCTTCCAGACACTATAAAAAGAGGGTTTCAAACCTACTCCACGAAAGGGAATGTTCAACTCTGAGAGCTGGATGCAAACATCACAAAGAAGTTTCTGAGAATGCTGCTGTCTACTTTTGATATAGAATCCCGTTTCCAAGGAAATCCTCAAATCTATCCAAATATCCACTTGCAGATTCCAAAAGAAGAGTGTCTCAAACCTGCTCTATCAATAGAAATGTTCAGCACAGTTAGTTGAGTAGATACAGCATAAACATGTTTCTGAGATTACTTCTATCTCGCATTCATGGGAAGATATTTCCTTTTTCCAGATAGGCTACAAAGCCCTCCAAATGTCCACTTCGAGATACTACAAATAGAGTGCTGCACAGCTGGTCTATGTGAGGGGATGTTCAATTCTGTGACTTGAATGCAGACACCACAAAGAAGTTTCTGAGAATGCTGCTGTCTAATTTTTATATGTAAGCCCGTTTCCAACGAAATCCTCAAAGCTATCCAAATATCCGCATGCAGAATCTTCAAAAAGAGTGTTCCAGAAGTACTGCATGAAACGAAAGGTTCAAGTCCGTTAGTTGAGGACACACATCACAAATAAGTTTCTCAGAATGCTTCTGTCTTGTTTTCATTGGAAGATATTTCCTTTTTCACCATAGTTCAGAAAGCGCTCCAAATGTCCACTTCCAGATACTACAAAAGGAGTGTGTCCAACCTGCTCTATGAATGGGAATGTTCCACTCTGTGACTTGAATGGAAATATGGCAAAGTATTTTCTGAGTATGCTGCTCTGTACGTTTTATATTGCATCCCGTTTCCAACGAAATCCTCAAAGCGATCCAAATATCCACTTGCAGATTCCAAAAAAAAGAGTGTTTCACACTGCTCTGTCAGTACAAAGGTTCAACACTGTTAGTTGATTGGATGCATCATAAACAAGTTCCTGAGATAGCTTCTATGTCGTTTTTATGGGAAGATATTTCCTTTTTCACCATAGGCCTGAAAGCGCTCCAAATGTCCACTTCCAGATACTACAAAAAGAGTGTTTCCAACCTGCTCTATGAAACGGAAGGTTCAACTCTGTGACTTGATTGCAAACATCACGAAGGTGTTTCTGAGAATGCTTCTGTCTAGATTTTCTTTGAAGACATTCCCGTTTCCAACGAAATCCTCAAAGCTAGCCAAATATCCACCTGCAGATTCTACAAAAAGAGTGTTTCAAAAGTGCTCTGTCCAAACCAAGGTTCAATTCTGACAGTTGAGTGCACACATCACAAACGTGATTCTGCGAATGCTTCTGTCTAGTTTTTGTCGGAAGATATTTCCTTTTTCAGCATAGGCCCCAAGGAGCTCAAAATGTCCACTTCCAGATACTACGAGAAGATTGTTTCAAACCTGCTCTGTGAAAGGGAATGTTCAACTCTGTGACTTGAATGTAAACATCCCTAAGATGTTTCTTAGAATGCTTCTGGCTAGATTTGATTTGAAGATATTCCCGTTTCCAACGAAATCCTCAAAGCTTTCCAAATATCCACTTCCAGATTCTATAAAAAGAATGTTTCAGAACAGTTCTGTCAAAAGAAAGGTTCAACTCTGTTAGTGGAGAACACACATCACAATCAAGGTTCTGAGAATGCTTCTGTCTAAATTTTCTATGAAGACATTCCCGTTTCCAACGAAATCCTCACAGCTATCCAAATATCCACTTGCAGATTCTACAAAAAGTGTGGTTCAAAACTGCTGTATCAAAAGAATGGATCAACACTGTTAGTTGAGTACCCACATCACAAACGTGATTCTCAGAATGCTTCTGTCTAGTTTCTGTAGGTAGATATTTCCTATTTTAAGCATAGGCCTGAAAGCGCTCCAAATGCCTGCTTCCAGACACTATAAAAAGAGGGTTTCAAACCTACTCTATGAAAGGGAATGCTCAACTCTGAGAGCTGGATGCAAACATCACAAAGAAGTTTCTGAGAATGCTGCTGTCTACTTTTTATATATAATCCCGTTTCCAACGAAATCCTCAAATCTATCCAAATATCCACTTGCAGATTCCAAAAGAAGAGTGTCTCAAAACTGCTCTATCAATAGAAATGTTCAGCACAGTTAGTTGAGTAGATACAGCATAAACATGTTTCTGAGATTACTTCTATCTCGCATTCATGGGAAGATATTTCCTTTTTCCAGATAGGCTACAAAGCCCTCCAAATGTCCACTTCGAGATACTACAAATAGAGTGCTGCACAACTGCTCTATGTGAGGGGAAGTTCAATTCTGTGACTTGAATGCAGACACCACAAAGAAGTTTCTGAGAATGCTGCTGTCTAATTTTTACATGTAAGCCCGTTTCCAACGAAATCCTCAAAGCTATCCAAATATCCGCATGCAGAATCTTCAAAAAGAGTGTTCCAGAAGTACTGCATGAAACGAAAGGTTCAAGTCCGTTTGTTGAGGACACACATCACAAATAAGTTTCTCAGAATGCTTCTGTCTTGTTTTCATTGGAAGATATTTCCTTTTTCACCATAGTTCAGAAAGCGCTCCAAATGTCCACTTCCAGATACTCCAAAAAGAGTGTTTCCAACCTGCTCTATGAATGGGAATGTTCCACTCTGTGACTTGAATGGAAATATGGCAAAGTATTTTCTGAGTATGCTGCTGTGTACGTTTTATATTGCATCCCGTTTCCAACGAAATCCTCAAAGCGATCCAAATATCCACTTGCAGATTCCAAAAAAAGAGTGTTTCAAACTGCTCTGTCAGTACAAAGGTTCAACACTGTTAGTTGATTAGATGCATCATAAACAAGTTCCTGAGATAGCTTCTATGTCGCTTTTATGGGAAGATATTTCCTTTTTCACCATAGGCCTGAAAGCGCTCCAAATGTCCACTTCCAGATACTACAATAAGAGTGTTTCCAACCTGCTCTATGAAACGGAAGGTTCAACTCTGTGACTTGATTGCAAACATCACGAAGGTGTTTCTGAGAATGTTTCTGTCTAGATTTTCTTTGAAGACATTCCCGTTTCCAACGAAATCCTCACAGCTATCCAAATATCCTCTTGCAGATTCTACAAAAAGTGTGGTTCAAAACTGCTGTATCAAAAGAATGGATCAACACTGTTAGTTGAGTACCCACATCACAAACGAGATTCTCAGAATGCTTCTGTCTAGTTTCTGTAGGTAGATATTTCCTATTTTAAGCATAGGCCTGAAAGCGCTCCAAATGCCCGCTTGCAGACACTATAAAAAGAGGGTTTCAAACCTACTCTATGAAAGGGAATGTTCAACTCTGAGAGCTGGATGCAAACATCACAAAGAAGTTTCTGAGAATGCTGCTGTCTACTTTTTATATATAATCGAGTTTCCAACGAAATCCTCAAATCTATCCAAATATCTACTTGCAGATTCCAAAAGAAGAGTGTCTCAAAACTGCTCTATCAATAGAAATGTTCAGCACAGTTAGTTGAGTAGATACAGCATAAACATGTTTCTGAGATTACTTCTATCTCGCATTCATGGGAAGATATTTCCTTTTTCCAGATAGGCTACAAAGCCCTCCAAATGTCCACTTCCAGATACTACAAATAGAGTGCTGCACAACTGCTCTATGTGAGGGGAAGTTCAATTCTGTGACTTGAATGCAGACACCACAAAGAAGTTTCTGAGAATGCTGCTGTCTAATTTTTATATGTAAGCCCGTTTCCAACGAAATCCTCAAAGCTAACCAAATATCCGCATGCAGAATCTTCAAAAAGAGTGTTCCCGAAGTACTGCATGAAACCAAAGCTTCGAGTCCGTTAGTTGAGGACACGCATCACAAATAAGTTTCTCAGAATGCTTCTGTCTTGTTTTCATTGGAACATATTTCCCTTTTCACCATAGTTCAGAAAGCGCTCCAAATGTCCACTTCCAGATACTCCAAAAAGAGTGTTTCAAACCTGCTCTATGAATGGGAATGTTCCACTCTGTGACTTGAATGGAAATACGGCAAAATATTTTCTGAGTATGCTGCTGTGTACGTTTTATATTGCATCCCGTTTCCAACGAAATCCTCAAAGTGATCCAAATATCCACTTGCAGATTCCAAAAAAAGAGTGTTTCAAACTGCTCTGTCAGTACAAAGGTTCAACACTGTTAGTTGATTAGATGCATCATAAACAAGTTCCTGAGGTAGCTTCTATGTCGTTTTTATGGGAAGATATTTCCTTTTTCACCATAGGCCTGAAAGCGCTCCAAATGTCCACTTCCAGATACTACAATAAGAGTGTTTCCAACCTGCTCTATGAAACGGAAGGTTCAACTCTGTGACTTGATTGCAAACATCACGAAGGTGTTTCTGAGAATGCTTCTGTCTAGATTTTCTTTGAAGACATTACCGTTTCCAACGAAATCCTCAAAGCTAGCCAAATATCCACCTGCAGATTCTACAAAAAGAGTGTTTCAAAAGTGCTCTGTCCAAACCAAGGTTCAATTCTGACAGTTGAGTGCACACATCACAAACGTGATTCTGCGAATGCTTCTGTCTAGTTTTTGTCGGAAGATATTTCCTTTTTCAGCATAGGCCCCAAGGAGCTCAAAATGTCCACTGCCAGATAGTACGAGAAGATTGTTTCAAACCTGCTCTGTGAAAGGGAATGTTCAACTCTGTGACTTGAATGTAAACATCCCTAAGATGTTTCTTAGAATGCTTCTGGCTAGATTTGATTTGAAGATATTCCCGTTTCCAACGAAATCCTCAAAGCTTTCCAAATATCCACTTCCAGATTCTATAAAAAGAATGTTTCAGAACAGTTCTGTCAAAAGAAAGGTTCAACTCTGTTAGTGGAGAACACACATCACAATCAAGGTTCTGAGAATGCTTCTGTCTAAATTTTCTATGAAGACATTCCCGTTTCCAACGAAATCCTCACAGCTATCCAAATATCCACTTGCAGATTCTACAAAAAGTGTGGTTCAAAACTGCTGTATCAAAAGAATGGATCAACACTGTTAGTTGAGTACCCACATCACAAACTTGATTCTCAGAATGCTTCTGTCTAGTTTCTATAGGTAGATATTTCCTTTTTCCGCATAGGCCTGAAATCGCTCCAAATGCCCGCTTCCAGACACTATAAAAAGAGGGTTTCAAACCTACTCTATGAAAGGGAATGTTCAACTCTGAGAGCTGGATGCAAACATCACAAAGAAGTTTCTGAGAATGCTGCTGTCTACTTTTTATATATAATCCCGTTTCCAACGAAATCCTCAAATCTATCCAAATATCCACTTGCAGATTCCAAAAGAAGAGTGTCTCAAAACTGCTCTATCAATAGAAATGTTCAGCACAGTTAGTTGAGTAGATACAGCATAAACATGTTTCTGAGATTACTTCTATCTCGCATTCATGGGAAGATATTTCCTTTTTCCAGATAGGCTACAAAGCCCTCCAAATGTCCACTTCCAGATACTACAAATAGAGTGCTGCACAACTGCTCTATGTGAGGGGAAGTTCAATTCTGTGACTTGAATGCAGACACCACAAAGAAGTTTCTGAGAATGCTGCTGTCTAATTTTTACATGTAAGCCCGTTTCCAACGAAATCCTCAAAGCTATCCAAATATCCGCATGCAGAATCTTCAAAAAGAGTGTTCCAGAAGTACTGCATGAAACGAAAGGTTCAAGTCCGTTTGTTGAGGACACACATCACAAATAAGTTTCTCAGAATGCTTCTGTCTTGTTTTCATTGGAAGATATTTCCTTTTTCACCATAGTTCAGAAAGCGCTCCAAATGTCCACTTCCAGATACTCCAAAAAGAGTGTTTCCAACCTGCTCTATGAATGGGAATGTTCCACTCTGTGACTTGAATGGAAATATGGCAAAGAATTTTCTGAGTATGCTGCTGTGTACGTTTTATATTGCATCCCGTTTCCAACGAAATCCTCAAAGCGATCCAAATATCCACTTGCAGATTCCAAAAAAAGAGTGTTTCAAACTGCTCTGTCAGTACAAAGGTTCAACACTGTTAGTTGATTAGATGCATCATAAACAAGTTCCTGAGATAGCTTCTATGTCGTTTTTATGGGAAGATATTTCCTTTTTCACCATAGGCCTGAAAGCGCTCCAAATGTCCACTTCCAGATACTACAATAAGAGTGTTTCCAACCTGCTCTATGAAACGGAAGGTTCAACTCTGTGACTTGATTGCAAACATCACGAAGGTGTTTCTGAGAATGCTTCTGTCTAGATTTTCTTTGAAGACATTCCCGTTTCCAACGAAATCCTCACAGCTATCCAAATATCCTCTTGCAGATTCTACAAAAAGTGTGGTTCAAAACTGCTGTATCAAAAGAATGGATCAACACTGTTAGTTGAGTACCCACATCACAAACGTGATTCTCAGAATGCTTCTGTCTAGTTTCTATAGGTAGATATTTCCTTTTTCAGCATAGGCCTGAAAGCGCTCCAAATGCCCGCTTCCACACACTATAAAAAGAGGGTTTCAAACCTACTCTATGAAAGGGAATGTTCAACCCTGAGAGCTGGATGCAAACATCACAAAGAAGTTTCTGAGTATGCGGCTGTCTACTTTTTATATATAATCCCGTTTCCAACGAAATCCTCAAATCTATCCAAATATCCACTTGCAGATTCCAAAAGAAGAGTGTCTCAAAACTGCTCTATCAATAGAAATGTTCAGCACAGTTAGTTGAGTAGATACAGCATAAACATGTTTCTGAGATTACATCTATCTCGCATTCATGGGAAGATATTTCCTTTTTCCAGATAGGCTACAAAGCCCTCCAAATGTCCACTTCCAGATACTACAAATAGAGTGCTGCACAACTGCTCTATGTGAGGGGAAGTTCAATTCTGTGACTTGAATGCAGACACCACAAAGAAGTTTCTGAGAATGCTGCTGTCTAATTTTTACATGTAAGCCCGTTTCCAACGAAATCCTCAAAGCTATCCAAATATCCGCATGCAGAATCTTCAAAAAGAGTGTTCCAGAAGTACTGCATGAAACGAAAGGTTCAAGTCCGTTTGTTGAGGACACACATCACAAAGAAGTTTCTCAGAATGCTTCTGTCTTGTTTTCATTGGAAGATATTTCCTTTTTCACCATAGTTCAGAAAGCGCTCCAAATGTCCACTTCCAGATACTCCAAAAAGAGTGTTTCAAACCTGCTCTATGAATGGGAATGTTCCACTCTGTGACTTGAATGGAAATATGGCAAAGTATTTTCTGAGTATGCTGCTGTGTACGTTTTATATTACATCCCGTTTCCAACGAAATCCTCAAAGCGATCCAAATATCCACTTGCAGATTCCAAAAAAAAGAGTGTTTCACACTGCTCTGTCAGTACAAAGTTCAACACTGTTAGTTGATTGGATGCATCATAAACAAGTTCCTGAGATAGCTTCTATGTCGTTTTTATGGGAAGATATTTCCTTTTTCACCATAGGCCTGAAAGCGCTCCAAATGTCCACTTCCAGATACTACAATAAGAGTGTTTCCAACCTGCTCTATGAAACGGAAGGTTCAACTCTGTGACTTGATTGCAAACATCACGAAGGTGTTTCTGAGAATGCTTCTGTCTAGATTTTCTTTGAAGACATTACCGTTTCCAACGAAATCCTCAAAGCTAGCCAAATATCCACCTGCAGATTCTACAAAAAGAGTGTTTCAAAAGTGCTCTGTCCAAACCAAGGTTCAATTCTGACAGTTGAGTGCACACATCACAAACGTGATTCTGCGAATGCTTCTGTCTAGTTTTTGTCGGAAGATATTTCCTTTTTCAGCATAGGCCCCAAGGAGCTCAAAATGTCCACTGCCAGATAGTACGAGAAGATTGTTTCAAACCTGCTCTGTGAAAGGGAATGTTCAACTCTGTGACTTGAATGTAAACATCCCTAAGATGTTTCTTAGAATGCTTCTGGCTAGATTTTATTTGAAGATATTCCCGTTTCCAACGAAATCCTCAAAGCTTTCCAAATATCCACTTCCAGATTCTATAAAAAGAATGTTTCAGAACAGTTCTGTCAAAAGAAAGGTTCAACTCTGTTAGTGGAGAACACACATCACAATCAAGGTTCTGAGAATGCTTCTGTCTAGATTTTCTTTGAAGACATTCCCGTTTCCAACGAAATCCTCACAGCTATCCAAATATCCTCTTGCAGATTCTACAAAAAGTGTGGTTCAAAACTGCTGTATCAAAAGAATGGATCAACACTGTTAGTTGAGTACCCACATCACAAACGTGATTCTCAGAATGCTTCTGTCTAGTTTCTGTAGGTAGATATTTCCTATTTTAAGCATAGGCCTGAAAGCGCTCCAAATGCCCGCTTCCAGACACTATAAAAAGAGGGTTTCAAACCTACTCTATGAAAGGGAATGCTCAACTCTGAGAGCTGGATGCAAACATCACAAAGAAGTTTCTGAGAATGCTGCTGTCTACTTTTTATATATAATCCCGTTTCCAACGAAATCCTCAAATCTATCCAAATATCCACTTGCAGATTCCAAAAGAAGAGTGTCTCAAAACTGCTCTATCAATAGAAATGTTCAGCACAGTTAGTTGAGTAGATACAGCATAAACATGTTTCTGAGATTACTTCTATCTCGCATTCATGGGAAGATATTTCCTTTTTCCAGATAGGCTACAAAGCCCTCCAAATGTCCACTTCGAGATACTACAAATAGAGTGCTGCACAGCTGCTCTATGTGAGGGGATGTTCAATTCTGTGACTTGAATGCAGACACCACAAAGAAGTTTCTGAGAATGCTGCTGTCTAATTTTTACATGTAAGCCCGTTTCCAACGAAATCCTCAAAGCTATCCAAATATCCGCATGCAGAATCTTCAAAAAGAGTGTTCCAGAAGTACTGCATGAAACGAAAGGTTCAAGTCCGTTTGTTGAGGACACACATCACAAATAAGTTTCTCAGAATGCTTCTGTGTTGTTTTCATTGGAAGATATTTCCTTTTTCACCATAGTTCAGAAAGCGCTCCAAATGTCCACTTCCAGATACTCCAAAAAGAGTGTTTCCAACCTGCTCTATGAATGGGAATGTTCCACTCTGTGACTTGAATGGAAATATGGCAAAGTATTTTCTGAGTATGCTGCTGTGTACGTTTTATATTGCATCCCGTTTCCAACGAAATCCTCAAAGCGATCCAAATATCCACTTGCAGATTCCAAAAAAAGAGTGTTTCAAACTGCTCTGTCAGTACAAAGGTTCAACACTGTTAGTTGATTAGATGCATCATAAACAAGTTCCTGAGATAGCTTCTATGTCGTTTTTATGGGAAGATATTTCCTTTTTCACCATAGGCCTGAAAGCGCTCCAAATGTCCACTTCCAGATACTACAAAAAGAGTGTTTCCAACCTGCTCTATGAAACGGAAGGTTCAACTCTGTGACTTGATTGCAAACATCACGAAGGTGTTTCTGAGAATGTTTCTGTCTAGATTTTCTTTGAAGACATTCCCGTTTCCAACGAAATCCTCACAGCTATCCAAATATCCTCTTGCAGATTCTACAAAAAGTGTGGTTCAAAACTGCTGTATCAAAAGAATGGATCAACACTGTTAGTTGAGTACCCACATCACAAACGTGATTCTCAGAATGCTCTGTCTAGTTTCTATAGGTAGATATTTCCTTTTTCAGCATAGGCCTGAAAGCGCTCCAAATGCCCGCTTCCAGACACTATAAAAAGAGGGTTTCAAACCTACTCTATGAAAGGGAATGTTCAACTCTGAGAGCTGGATGCAAACATCACAAAGAAGTTTCTGAGAATGCTGGCGGTCTACTTTTTATATATAATCCAGTTCCCAACGAAATCCTCAAATCTATCCAAATATCCACGTGCAGATTCCAAAAGAAGAGTGTCTCAAAACTGCTCTATTAATAGAAATGTTCAGCACAGTTAGTTGAGTAGATACAGCATAAACATGTTTCTGAGATTACTTCTATCTCGCATTCATGGGAAGATATTTCCTTTTTCCAGATAGGCTACAAAGCCCTCCAAATGTCCACTTCCAGATACTACAAATAGAGTGCTGCACAACTGCTCTATGTGAGGGGATGTTCAATTCTGTGGCTTGGATGCAGACACCACAGAGAAGTTTCTGAGAATGCTGCTGTCTAATTTTTATATGTAAGCCCGTTTCCAACGAAATCCTCAAAGCTATCCAAATATCCGCATGCAGAATCTTCAAAAAGAGTGTTCCAGAAGTACTGCATGAAACGAAAGGTTCAAGTCCGTTAGTTGAGGACACACATCACAAATAAGTTTCTCAGAATGCTTCTGTCTTGTTTTCATTGGAAGATATTTCCTTTTTCACCATAGTTCAGAAAGCGCTCCAAATGTCCACTTCCAGATACTACAAAAAGAGTGTGTCAAACCTGCTCTATGAATGGGAATGTTCCACTCTGTGACTTGAATGGAAATATGGCAAAGTATTTTCTGAGTATGCTGCTGTGTATGTTTTATATTGCATCCCGTATCCAACGAAATCCTCAAAGCGATCCAAATATCCACTTGCAGATTCCAAAAATAGAGTGTTTCACACTGCTCTGTCAGTACAAAGGTTCAACACTGTTAGTTGATTGGATGCATCATAAACAAGTTCCTGAGATAGTTTCTATATCGTTTTTATGGGAAGATATTTCCTTCTTCACCATAGGCCTGCAAGCACTCCAAATGTCCACTTCCAGATACTACAAAAAGAGTGTTTCCAACCTGCTCTACGAAACGGAAGGTTCAACTCTGTGACTTTATTGCAAACATCACGAAGGTGTTTCTGAGAATGTTTCTGTCTAGATTTTCTTTGAAGACATTACCGTTTCCAACGAAATCCTCAAAGCTAGTCAAATATCCACCTGCGGATTCTACAAAAAGAGTGTTTCAAAAGTGCTCTATCCAAACAAAGGTTCAATTCTGACAGTTGAGTGCACACATCACAAACGTGATTCTGCGAATGCTTCTGTCTACTTTTTGTCGGAAGATATTTCCTTTTTCAGCATAGGCCCCAAGGAGCTCAAAATGTCCACTTCCAGATAGTACGAGAAGATTGTTTCAAACCTGCTCTGAGAAAGGGGAATGTTCAACTCTGTGACTTGAATGTACACATCCCTAAGATGTTTCTTAGAATGCTTCTGTCTAAATTTTCTATGAAGACATTCCCGTTTCCAACGAAATCCTCACAGCTATCCAAATATCCACTTGCAGATTCTACAAAAAGTGTGGTTCAAAACTGCTGTATCAAAAGAATGGATCAACACTGTTAGTTGAGTACCCACATCACAAACGTGATTCTCAGAATGCTTCTGTCTAGTTTCTGTAGGTAGATATTTCCTTTTTCAGCATAGGCCTGAGAGCGCTCCAAATGCCCGCTTCCAGACACTATAAAAAGGGGGTTTCAAACCTACTCTATGAAAGGGAATGT
Organism: Homo sapiens; assembly: GCF_000001405.40. Taxonomy (NCBI): domain Eukaryota; kingdom Metazoa; phylum Chordata; class Mammalia; order Primates; family Hominidae; genus Homo; species Homo sapiens. The sequence continues at coordinate 45,705,321 of NC_000008.11, read as the reverse complement.
TCAACTCTGAGAGCTGGATGCAAACATCACAAAGAAGTTTCTGAGAATGCTGCTGTCTACTTTTGATATATAATCCCGTTTCCAACGAAATCCTCAAATCTAGCCAAATATCCACTTGCAGATTCCAAAAGAAGAGTGTCTCAAAACTGCTCTATCAATAGAAATGTTCAGCACAGTTAGTTGAGTAGATACAGCATAAACATGTTTCTGAGATTACTTCTATCTCGCATTCATGGGAAGATATTTCCTTTTTCCAGATAGGCTACAAAGCCCTCCAAATGTCCACTTCGAGATACTACAAATAGAGTGCTGCACAACTGCTCTATGTGAGGGGATGTTCAATTCTGTGACTTGAATGCAGACACCACATAGAAGTTTCTGAGAATGCTGCTGTCTAATTTTTACATGTAAGCCCGTTTCCAACGAAATCCTCAAAGCTATCCAAATATCCGCATGCAGAATCTTCAAAAAGAGTGTTCCAGAAGTACTGCATGAAACGAAAGGTTCAAGTCCGTTTGTTGAGGACACACATCACAAATAAGTTTCTCAGAATGCTTCTGTCTTGTTTTCATTGGAAGATATTTCCTTTTTCACCATAGTTCAGAAAGCGCTCCAAATGTCCACTTCCAGATACTCCAAAAAGAGTGTTTCCAACCTGCTCTATGAATGGGAATGTTCCACTCTGTGACTTGAATGGAAATATGGCAAAGTATTTTCTGAGTATGCTGCTGTGTACGTTTTATATTGCATCCCGTTTCCAACGAAATCCTCAAAGCGATCCAAATATCCACTTGCAGATTCCAAAAAAAGAGTGTTTCAAACTGCTCTGTCAGTACAAAGGTTCAACACTGTTAGTTGATTAGATGCATCATAAACAAGTTCCTGAGATAGCTTCTATGTCGCTTTTATGGGAAGATATTTCCTTTTTCACCATAGGCCTGAAAGCGCTCCAAATGTCCACTTCCAGATACTACAATAAGAGTGTTTCCAACCTGCTCTATGAAACGGAAGGTTCAACTCTGTGACTTGATTGCAAACATCACGAAGGTGTTTCTGAGAATGTTTCTGTCTAGATTTTCTTTGAAGACATTACCGTTTCCAACGAAATCCTCAAAGCTAGCCAAATATCCACCTGCAGATTCTACAAAAAGAGTGTTTCAAAAGTGCTCTGTCCAAACAAAGGTTCAATTCCGACAGTTGAGTGCACACATCACAAACGTGATTCTGCGAATGCTCTGTCTAGTTTTTGTCGGAAGATATTTCCTTTTTCAGCATAGGCCCCAAGGAGCTCAAAATGTCCACTTCCAGATAGTACGAGAAGATTGTTTCAAACCTGCTCTGTGAAAGGGAATGTTCAACTCTGTGACTTGAATGTAAACATCCCTAAGTTGTTTCTTAGAATGCTTTCTGGCTAGATTTGATTTGAAGATATTCCCGTTTCCAACGAAATCCTCAAAGCTTTCCAAATATCCACTTCCAGATTCTATACAAAGAATGTTTCAGAACAGTTCTGTCAAAAGAAAGGTTCAACCCTGTTAGTGGAGAACACACATCACAATCAAGGTTCTGAGAATGCTTCTGTCTAAATTTTCTATGAAGACATTCCCGTTTCCAAGGAAATCCTCACAGCTATCCAAATATCCACTTGCAGATTCTACAAAAAGTGTGGTTCAAAACTGCTGTATCAAAAGAATGGATCAACACTGTTAGTTGAGTACCCACATCACAAACGTGATTCTCAGAATGCTTCTGTCTACTTTCTATAGGTAGATATTTCCTTTTTCAGCATAGGCCTGAAAGCGCTCCAAATGCCCGCTTCCAGACACTATAAAAAGAGGGTTTCAAACCTACTCTACGAAAGGGAATGTTCAACTCTGAGAGCTGGATGCAAACATCACAAAGAAGTTTCTGAGAATGCTGCTGTCTACTTTTTATATATAATCCCGTTTCCAACGAAATCCTCAAATCTATCCAAATATCCACTTGCAGATTCCAAAAGAAGAGTGTCTCAAAACTGCTCTATCAATAGAAATGTTCAGCACAGTTAGTTGAGTAGATACAGCATAAACATGTTTCTGAGATTACTTCTATCTCGCATTCATGGGAAGATATTTCCTTTTTCCAGATAGGCTACAAAGCCCTCCAAATGTCCACTTCCAGATACTACAAATAGAGTGCTGCACAACTGCTCTATGTGAGGGGATGTTCAATTCTGTGACTTGAATGCAGACACCACAAAGAAGTTTCTGAGAATGCTGCTGTCTAATTTTTACATGTAAGCCCGTTTCCAACGAAATCCTCAAAGCTATCCAAATATCCGCATGCAGAATCTTCAAAAAGAGTGTTCCAGAAGTACTGCATGAAACGAAAGGTTCAAGTCCGTTTGTTGAGGACACACATCACAAATAAGTTTCTCAGAATGCTTCTGTCTTGTTTTCATTGGAAGATATTTCCTTTTTCACCATAGTTCAGAAAGCGCTCCAAATGTCCACTTCCAGATACTCCAAAAAGAGTGTTTCCAACCTGCTCTATGAATGGGAATGTTCCACTCTGTGACTTGAATGGAAATATGGCAAAGTATTTTCTGAGTATGCTGCTGTGTACGTTTTATATTGCATCCCGTTTCCAACGAAATCCTCAAAGCGATCCAAATATCCACTTGCAGATTCCAAAAAAAGAGTGTTTCAAACTGCTCTGTCAGTACAAAGGTTCAACACTGTTAGTTGATTAGATGCATCATAAACAAGTTCCTGAGATAGCTTCTATATCGTTTTTCTGGGAAGATATTTCCTTTTTCACCATAGGCCTGAAAGCGCTCCAGATGTCCACTTCCAGATACTACAAAAAGAGTGTTTCCAACCTGCTCTATGAAACGGAAGGTTCAACTCTGTGACTTGATTGCAAACATCACGAAGGTGTTTCTGAGAATGCTTCTGTCTAGATTTTCTTTGAAGACATTCCCGTTTCCAACGAAATCCTCACAGCTATCCAAATATCCTCTTGCAGATTCTACAAAAAGTGTGGTTCAAAACTGCTGTATCAAAAGAATGGATCAACACTGTTAGTTGAGTACCCACATCACAAACGTGATTCTCAGAATGCTTCTGTCTAGTTTCTGTAGGTAGATATTTCCTATTTTAAGCATAGGCCTGAAAGCGCTCCAAATGCCCGCTTCCAGACACTATAAAAAGAGGGTTTCAAACCTACTCTATGAAAGGGAATGTTCAACTCTGAGAGCTGGATGCAAACATCACAAAGAAGTTTCTGAGAATGCTGCTGTCTACTTTTGATATATAATCCCGTTTCCAACGAAATCCTCAAATCTATCCAAATATCCACTTGCAGATTCCAAAAGAAGAGTGTCTCAAAACTGCTCTATCAATAGAAATGTTCAGCACAGTTAGTTGAGTAGATACAGCATAAACATGTTTCTGAGATTACTTCTATCTCGCATTCATGGGAAGATATTTCCTTTTTCCAGATAGGCTACAAAGCCCTCCAAATGTCCACTTCCAGATACTACAAATAGAGTGCTGCACAACTGCTCTATGTGAGGGGAAGTTCAATTCTGTGACTTGAATGCAGACACCACAAAGAAGTTTCTGAGAATGCTGCTGTCTAATTTTTACATGTAAGCCCGTTTCCAACGAAATCCTCAAAGCTATCCAAATATCCGCATGCAGAATCTTCAAAAAGAGTGTTCCAGAAGTACTGCATGAAACGAAAGGTTCAAGTCCGTTTGTTGAGGACACACATCACAAATAAGTTTCTCAGAATGCTTCTGTCTTGTTTTCATTGGAAGATATTTCCTTTTTCACCATAGTTCAGAAAGCGCTCCAAATGTCCACTTCCAGATACTCCAAAAAGAGTGTTTCAAACCTGCTCTATGAATGGGAATGTTCCACTCTGTGACTTGAATGGAAATATGGCAAAGTATTTTCTGAGTATGCTGCTGTGTACGTTTTATATTGCATCCCGTTTCCAACGAAATCCTCAAAGCGATCCAAATATCCACTTGCAGATTCCAAAAAAAGAGTGTTTCAAACTGCTCTGTCAGTACAAAGGTTCAACACTGTTAGTTGATTAGATGCATCATAAACAAGTTCCTGAGATAGCTTCTATGTTGTTTTTATGGGAAGATATTTCCTTTTTCACCATAGGCCTGAAAGCGCTCCAAATGTCCACTTCCAGATACTACAATAAGAGTGTTTCCAACCTGCTCTATGAAACGGAAGGTTCAACTCTGTGACTTGATTGCAAACATCACGAAGGTGTTTCTGAGAATGTTTCTGTCTAGATTTTCTTTGAAGACATTCCCGTTTCCAACGAAATCCTCACAGCTATCCAAATATCCTCTTGCAGATTCTACAAAAAGTGTGGTTCAAAACTGCTGTATCAAAAGAATGGATCAACACTGTTAGTTGAGTACCCACATCACAAACGAGATTCTCAGAATGCTTCTGTCTAGTTTCTGTAGGTAGATATTTCCTATTTTAAGCATAGGTCTGAAAGCGCTCCAAATGCCCGCTTCCAGACACTATAAAAAGAGGGTTTCAAACCTACTCTATGAAAGGGAATGTTCAACTCTGAGAGCTGGATGCAAACATCACAAAGAAGTTTCTGAGAATGCTGCTGTCTACTTTTTATATATAATCCCGTTTCCAACGAAATCCTCAAATCTATCCAAATATCCACTTGCAGATTCCAAAAGAAGAGTGTCTCAAAACTGCTCTATCAATAGAAATGTTCAGCACATTTAGTTGAGTAGATACAGCATAAACATGTTTCTGAGATTACTTCTATCTCGCATTCATGGGAAGATATTTCCTTTTTCCAGATAGGCTACAAAGCCCTCCAAATGTCCACTTCCAGATACTACAAATAGAGTGCTGCACAACTGCTCTATGTGAGGGGAAGTTCAATTCTGTGACTTGAATGCAGACACCACAAAGAAGTTTCTGAGAATGCTGCTGTCTAATTTTTATATGTAAGCCCGTTTCCAACGAAATCCTCAAAGCTAACCAAATATCCGCATGCAGAATCTTCAAAAAGAGTGTTCCAGAAGTACTGCATGAAACGAAAGGTTCGAGTCCGTTAGTTGAGGACACGCATCACAAATAAGTTTCTCAGAATGCTTCTGTCTTGTTTTCATTGGAAGATATTTCCTTTTTCACCATAGTTCAGAAAGCGCTCCAAATGTCCACTTCCAGATACTCCAAAAAGAGTGTTTCAAACCTGCTCTATGAATGGGAATGTTCCACTCTGTGACTTGAATGGAAATATGGCAAAGTATTTTCTGAGTATGCTGCTGTGTACGTTTTATATTGCATCCCGTTTCCAACGAAATCCTCAAAGCGATCCAAATATCCACTTGCAGATTCCAAAAAAAGAGTGTTTCAAACTGCTCTGTCAGTACAAAGGTTCAACACTGTTAGTTGATTAGATGCATCATAAACAAGTTCCTGAGATAGCTTCTATGTCGTTTTTATGGGAAGATATTTCCTTTTTCACCATAGGCCTGAAAGCGCTCCAAATGTCCACTTCCAGATACTACAATAAGAGTGTTTCCAACCTGCTCTATGAAACGGAAGGTTCAACTCTGTGACTTGATTGCAAACATCACGAAGGTGTTTCTGAGAATGCTTCTGTCTAGATTTTCTTTGAAGACATTCCCGTTTCCAACGAAATCCTCACAGCTATCCAAATATCCTCTTGCAGATTCTACAAAAAGTGTGGTTCAAAACTGCTGTATCAAAAGAATGGATCAACACTGTTAGTTGAGTACCCACATCACAAACGTGATTCTCAGAATGCTTCTGTCTACTTTCTATAGGTAGATATTTCCTTTTTCAGCATAGGCCTGAAAGCGCTCCAAATGCCCGCTTCCAGACACTATAAAAAGAGGGTTTCAAACCTACTCTACGAAAGGGAATGTTCAACTCTGAGAGCTGGATGCAAACATCATAAAGAAGTTTCTGAGAATGCTGCTGTCTACTTTTTATATATAATCCCGTTTCCAACGAAATCCTCAAATCTATCCAAATATCCACTTGCAGATTCCAAAAGAAGAGTGTCTCAAAACTGCTCTATCAATAGAAATGTTCAGCACAGTTAGTTGAGTAGATACAGCATAAACATGTTTCTGAGATTACTTCTATCTCGCATTCATGGGAAGATATTTCCTTTTTCCAGATAGGCTACAAAGCCCTCCAAATGTCCACTTCCAGATACTACAAATAGAGTGCTGCACAACTGCTCTATGTGAGGGGAAGTTCAATTCTGTGACTTGAATGCAGACACCACAAAGAAGTTTCTGAGAATGCTGCTGTCTAATTTTTATATGTAAGCCCGTTTCCAACGAAATCCTCAAAGTTATCCAAATATCCGCATGCAGAATCTTCAAAAAGAGTGTTCCAGAAGTACTGCATGAAACGAAAGGTTCAAGTCCGTTTGTTGAGGACACACATCACAAATAAGTTTCTCAGAATGCTTCTGTCTTGTTTTCATTGGAAGATATTTCCTTTTTCACCATAGTTCAGAAAGCGCTCCAAATGTCCACTTCCAGATACTCCAAAAAGAGTGTTTCAAACCTGCTCTATGAATGGGAATGTTCCACTCTGTGACTTGAATGGAAATATGGCAAAGTATTTTCTGAGTATGCTGCTGTGTACGTTTTATATTGCATCCCGTTTCCAACGAAATCCTCAAAGCGATCCAAATATCCACTTGCAGATTCCAAAAAAAGAGTGTTTCAAACTGCTCTGTCAGTACAAAGGTTCAACACTGTTAGTTGATTAGATGCATCATAAACAAGTTCCTGAGATAGCTTCTATCTCGCATTCATGGGAAGATATTTCCTTTTTCCACATAGGCTACAAAGCCCTCCAAATGTCCACTTCCAGATACTACAAAAAGAGTGTTTCCAACCTGCTCTATGAAACGGAAGGTTCAACTCTGTGACTTGATTGCAAACATCACGAAGGTGTTTCTGAGAATGCTTCTGTCTAGATTTTCTTTGAAGACATTACCGTTTCCAACGAAATCCTCAAAGCTAGCCAAATATCCACCTGCAGATTCTACAAAAAGAGTGTTTCAAAAGTGCTCTGTCCAAACCAAGGTTCAATTCTGACAGTTGAGTGCACACATCACAAACGTGATTCTGCGAATGCTTCTGTCTAGTTTTTGTCGGAAGATATTTCCTTTTTCAGCATAGGCCCCAAGGAGCTCAAAATGTCCACTGCCAGATAGTACGAGAAGATTGTTTCAAACCTGCTCTGTGAAAGGGAATGTTCAACTCTGTGACTTGAATGTAAACATCCCTAAGATGTTTCTTAGAATGCTTCTGGCTAGATTTTATTTGAAGATATTCCCGTTTCCAACGAAATCCTCAAAGCTTTCCAAATATCCACTTCCAGATTCTATAAAAAGAATGTTTCAGAACAGTTCTGTCAAAAGAAAGGTTCAACTCTGTTAGTGGAGAACACACATCACAATCAAGGTTCTGAGAATGCTTCCGTCTAAATTTTCTATGAAGACATTCCCGTTTCCAACGAAATCCTCACAGCTATCCAAATATCCACTTGCAGATTCTACAAAAAGTGTGGTTCAAAACTTCTGTATCAAAAGAATGGATCAACACTGTTAGTTGAGTACCCACATCACAAACGTGATTCTCAGAATGCTTCTGTCTAGTTTCTATAGGTAGATATTTCCTTTTTCAGCATAGGCCTGAAAGCGCTCCAAATGCCCGCTTCCAGACACTATAAAAAGAGGGTTTCAAACCTACTCTATGAAAGGGAATGTTCAACTCTGAGAGCTGGATGCAAACATCACAAAGAAGTTTCTGAGAATGCTGCTGTCTACTTTTTATATATAATCCCGTTTCCAACGAAATCCTCAAATCTATCCAAATATCCACTTGCAGATTCCAAAAGAAGAGTGTCTCAAAACTGCTCTATCAATAGAAATGTTCAGCACAGTTAGTTGAGTAGATACAGCATAAACATGTTTCTGAGATTACTTCTATCTCGCATTCATGGGAAGATATTTCCTTTTTCCAGATAGGCTACAAAGCCCTCCGAATGTCCACTTCCAGATACTACAAATAGAGTGCTGCACAACTGCTCTATGTGAGGGGAAGTTCAATTCTGTGACTTGAATGCAGACACCACAAAGAAGTTTCTGAGAATGCTGCTGTCTAATTTTTACATGTAAGCCCGTTTCCAACGAAATCCTCAAAGCTATCCAAATATCCGCATGCAGAATCTTCAAAAAGAGTGTTCCAGAAGTACTGCATGAAACGAAAGGTTCAAGTCCGTTTGTTGAGGACACACATCACAAATAAGTTTCTCAGAATGCTTCTGTCTTGTTTTCATTGGAAGATATTTCCTTTTTCACCATAGTTCAGAAAGCGCTCCAAATGTCCACTTCCAGATACTCCAAAAAGAGTGTTTCCAACCTGCTCTATGAATGGGAATGTTCCACTCTGTGACTTGAATGGAAATATGGCAAAGTATTTTCTGAGTATGCTGCTGTGTACGTTTTATATTGCATCCCGTTTCCAACGAAATCCTCAAAGCGATCCAAATATCCACTTGCAGATTCCAAAAAAAGAGTGTTTCAAACTGCTCTGTCAGTACAAAGGTTCAACACTGTTAGTTGATTAGATGCATCATAAACAAGTTCCTGAGATAGCTTCTATCTCGCATTCATGGGAAGATATTTCCTTTTTCCACATAGGCTACAAAGCCCTCCAAATGTCCACTTCCAGATACTACAAAAAGAGTGTTTCCAACCTGCTCTATGAAACGGAAGGTTCAACTCTGTGACTTGATTGCAAACATCACGAAGGTGTTTCTGAGAATGCTTCTGTCTAGATTTTCTTTGAAGACATTACCGTTTCCAACGAAATCCTCAAAGCTAGCCAAATATCCACCTGCAGATTCTACAAAAAGAGTGTTTCAAAAGTGCTCTGTCCAAACCAAGGTTCAATTCTGACAGTTGAGTGCACACATCACAAACGTGATTCTGCGAATGCTTCTGTCTAGTTTTTGTCGGAAGATATTTCCTTTTTCAGCATAGGCCCCAAGGAGCTCAAAATGTCCACTGCCAGATAGTACGAGAAGATTGTTTCAAACCTGCTCTGAGAAAGGGGAATGTTCAACTCTGTGACTTGAATGTAAACATCCCTAAGATGTTTCTTAGAATGCTTCTGGCTAGATTTTATTTGAAGATATTCCCGTTTCCAACGAAATCCTCAAAGCTTTCCAAATATACACTTCCAGATTCTATAAAAAGAATGTTTCAAAACAGTTCTGTCCAAAGAAAGGTTCAACTCTGTTAGTGGAGAACTCACATCACAATCCAGGTTCTGAGAATGCTTCTGTCTAGATTTTCTTTGAAGACATTCCCGTTTCCAACGAAATCCTCACAGCTATCCAAATATCCACTTGCAGATTCTACAAAAAGTGTGGTTCAAAACTGCTGTATCAAAAGAATGGATCAACACTGTTAGTTGAGTACCCACATCACAAACGTGATTCTCAGAATGCTTCTGTCTAGTTTCTATAGGTAGATATTTCCTTTTTCAGCATAGGCCTGAAAGCGCTCCAAATGCCCGCTTCCAGACACTATAAAAAGAGGGTTTCAAACCTACTCTATGAAAGGGAATGTTCAACTCTGAGAGCTGGATGCAAACATCACAAAGAAGTTTCTGAGAATGCTGCTGTCTACTTTTTATATATAATCCCGTTTCCAACGAAATCCTCAAATCTATCCAAATATCCACTTGCAGATTCCAAAAGAAGAGTGTCTCAAAACTGCTCTATCAATAGAAATGTTCAGCACAGTTAGTTGAGTAGATACAGCATAAACATGTTTCTGAGATTACTTCTATCTCGCATTCATGGGAAGATATTTCCTTTTTCCAGATAGGCTACAAAGCCCTCCAAATGTCCACTTCCAGATACTACAAAAAGAGTGTTTCCAACCTGCTCTATGAGACGGAAGGTTCAACTCTGTGACTTGATTGCAAACATCACGAAGGTGTTTCTGAGAATGCTGCTGTCTAATTTTTACATGTAAGCCCGTTTCCAACGAAATCCTCAAAGCTATCCAAATATCCGCATGCAGAATCTTCAAAAAGAGTGTTCCAGAAGTACTGCATGAAACGAAAGGTTCAAGTCCGTTTGTTGAGGACACACATCACAAATAAGTTTCTCAGAATGCTTCTGTCTTGTTTTCATTGGAAGATATTTCCTTTTTCACCATAGTTCAGAAAGCGCTCCAAATGTCCACTTCCAGATACTCCAAAAAGAGTGTTTCCAACCTGCTCTATGAATGGGAATGTTCCACTCTGTGACTTGAATGGAAATATGGCAAAGTATTTTCTGAGTATGCTGCTGTGTACGTTTTATATTGCATCCCGTTTCCAACGAAATCCTCAAAGCGATCCAAATATCCACTTGCAGATTCCAAAAAAAGAGTGTTTCAAAGTGCTCTGTCAGTACAAAGGTTCAACACTGTTAGTTGATTAGATGCATCATAAACAATTTCCTGAGATAGCTTCTATGTCGTTTTTATGGGAAGATATTTCCTTTTTCACCATAGGCCTGAAAGCGCTCCAAATGTCCACTTCCAGATACTACAATAAGAGTGTTTCCAACCTGCTCTATGAAACGGAAGGTTCAACTCTGTGACTTGATTGCAAACATCACGAAGGTGTTTCTGAGAATGCTTCTGTCTAGATTTTCTTTGAAGACATTCCCGTTTCCAACGAAATCCTCACAGCTATCCAAATATCCTCTTGCAGATTCTACAAAAAGTGTGGTTCAAAACTGCTGTATCAAAAGAATGGATCAACACTGTTAGTTGAGTACCCACATCACAAACGTGATTCTCAGAATGCTTCTGTCTAGTTTCTGTAGGTAGATATTTCCTATTTTAAGCATAGGCCTGAAAGCGCTCCAAATGCCCGCTTCCAGACACTATAAAAAGAGGGTTTCAAACCTACTCTATGAAAGGGAATGTTCAACTCTGAGAGCTGGATGCAAACATCACAAAGAAGTTTCTGAGAATGCTGCTGTCTACTTTTTATATATAATCCCGTTTCCAACGAAATCCTCAAATCTATCCAAATATCCACTTGCAGATTCCAAAAGAAGAGTGTCTCAAAACTGCTCTATCAATAGAAATGTTCAGCACAGTTAGTTGAGTAGATACAGCATAAACATGTTTCTGAGATTACTTCTATCTCGCATTCATGGGAAGATATTTCCTTTTTCCAGATAGGCTACAAAGCCCTCCAAATGTCCACTTCCAGATACTACAAATAGAGTGCTGCACAACTGCTCTATGTGAGGGGATGTTCAATTCTGTGACTTGAATGCAGACACCACAAAGAAGTTTCTGAGAATGCTGCTGTCTAATTTTTACATGTAAGCCCGTTTCCAACGAAATCCTCAAAGCTATCCAAATATCCGCATGCAGAATCTTCAAAAAGAGTGTTCCAGAAGTACTGCATGAAACGAAAGGTTCAAGTCCGTTTGTTGAGGACACACATCACAAATAAGTTTCTCAGAATGCTTCTGTCTTGTTTTCATTGGAAGATATTTCCTTTTTCACCATAGTTCTGAAAGCGCTCCAAATGTCCACTTCCAGACACTCCAAAAAAAGTGTTTCAAACCTGCTCTATGAATGGGAATGTTCCACACTGTGACTTGAATGGAAACATGGCAAAGTATTTTCTGAGTATGCTGCTGTGTACGTTTTATATTGCATCCCGTTTCCAACGAAATCCTCAAAGCGATCCAAATATCCACTTGCAGATTCCAAAAAAAGAGTGTTTCAAACTGCTCTGTCAGTACAAAGGTTCAACACTGTTAGTTGATTAGATGCATCATAAACAAGTTCCTGAGATAGCTTCTATGTCGTTTTTATGGGAAGATATTTCCTTTTTCACCATAGGCCTGAAAGCGCTCCAAATGTCCACTTCCAGATACTACAAAAAGAGTGTTTCCAACCTGCTCTATGAAACGGAAGGTTCAACTCTGTGACTTGATTGCAAACATCACGAAGGTGTTTCTGAGAATGCTTCTGTCTAGATTTTCTTTGAAGACATTACCGTTTCCAACGAAATCCTCAAAGCTAGCCAAATATCCACCTGCAGATTCTACAAAAAGAGTGTTTCAAAAGTGCTCTGTCCAAACCAAGGTTCAATTCTGACAGTTGAGTGCACACATCACAAACGTGATTCTGCGAATGCTTCTGTCTAGTTTTTGTCGGAAGATATTTCCTTTTTCAGCATAGGCCCCAAGGAGCTCAAAATGTCCACTGCCAGATAGTACGAGAAGATTGTTTCAAACCTGCTCTGTGAAAGGGAATGTTCAACTCTGTGACTTGAATGTAAACATCCCTAAGATGTTTCTTAGAATGCTTCTGGCTAGATTTGATTTGAAGATATTCCCGTTTCCAACGAAATCCTCAAAGCTTTCCAAATATCCACTTCCAGATTCTATAAAAAGAATGTTTCAGAACAGTTCTGTCAAAAGAAAGGTTCAACTCTGTTAGTGGAGAACACACATCACAATCAAGGTTCTGAGAATGCTTCTGTCTAAATTTTCTATGAAGACATTCCCGTTTCCAACGAAATCCTCACAGCTATCCAAATATCCACTTGCAGATTCTACAAAAAGTGTGGTTCAAAACTGCTGTATCAAAAGAATGGATCAACACTGTTAGTTGAGTACCCACATCACAAACGTGATTCTCAGAATGCTTCTGTCTAGTTTCTGTAGGTAGATATTTCCTATTTTAAGCATAGGCCTGAAAGCGCTCCAAATGCCCGCTTCCAGACACTATAAAAAGAGGGTTTCAAACCTACTCTATGAAAGGGAATGTTCAACTCTGAGAGCTGGATGCAAACATCACAAAGAAGTTTCTGAGAATGCTGCTGTCTACTTTTTATATATAATCCCGTTTCCAACGAAATCCTCAAATCTATCCAAATATCCACTTGCAGATTCCAAAAGAAGAGTGTCTCAAAACTGCTCTATCAATAGAAATGTTCAGCACAGTTAGTTGATTAGATACAGCATAAACATGTTTCTGAGATTACTTCTATCTCGCATTCATGGGAAGATATTTCCTTTTTCCAGATAGGCTACAAAGCCCTCCAAATGTCCACTTCGAGATACTACAAATAGAGTGCTGCACAACTGCTCTATGTGAGGGGAAGTTCAATTCTGTGACTTGAATGCAGACACCACAAAGAAGTTTCTGAGAATGCTGCTGTCTAATTTTTACATGTAAGCCCGTTTCCAACGAAATCCTCAAAGCTATCCAAATATCCGCATGCAGAATCTTCAAAAAGAGTGTTCCAGAAGTACTGCATGAAACGAAAGGTTCAAGTCCGTTTGTTGAGGACACACATCACAAATAAGTTTCTCAGAATGCTTCTGTCTTGTTTTCATTGGAAGATATTTCCTTTTTCACCATAGTTCAGAAAGCGCTCCAAATGTCCACTTCCAGATACTCCAAAAAGAGTGTTTCAAACCTGCTCTATGAATGGGAATGTTCCACTCTCTGACTTGAATGGAAATATGGCAAAGTATTTTCTGAGTATGCTGCTGTGTACGTTTTATATTGCATCCCGTTTCCAACGAAATCCTCAAAGCGATCCAAATATCCACTTGCAGATTCCAAAAAAAGAGTGTTTCAAACTGCTCTGTCAGTACAAAGGTTCAACACTGTTAGTTGATTAGATGCATCATAAACAAGTTCCTGAGATAGCTTCTATGTCGTTTTTATGGGAAGATATTTCCTTTTTCACCATAGGCCTGAAAGCGCTCCAAATGTCCACTTCCAGATACTACAATAAGAGTGTTTCCAACCTGCTCTATGAAACGGAAGGTTCAACTCTGTGACTTGATTGCAAACATCACGAAGTGTTTCTGAGAATGCTTCTGTCTAGATTTTCTTTGAAGACATTACCGTTTCCAACGAAATCCTCAAAGCTAGCCAAATATCCACCTGCAGATTCTACAAAAAGAGTGTTTCAAAAGTGCTCTGTCCAAACAAAGGTTCAATTCTGACACTTCAGTGCACACATCACAAACGTGATTCTGCGAATGCTTCTGTCTAGTTTTTGTCGGAAGATATTTCCTTTTTCAGCATAGGCCCCAAGGAGCTCAAAATGTCCACTTCCAGATAGTACGAGAAGATTGTTTCAAACCTGCTCTGTGAAAGGGAATGTTCAACTCTGTGACTTGAATGTAAACATCCCTAAGATGTTTCTTAGAATGCTTCTGGCTAGATTTGATTTGAAGATATTCCCGTTTCCAATGAAATCCTCAAAGCTTTCCAAATATCCACTTCCAGATTCTATAAAAAGAATGTTTCAAAACAGTTCTGTCAAAAGAAAGGTTCAACCCTGTTAGTGGAGAACACACATCACAATCAAGGTTCTGAGAATGCTTCTGTCTAAATTTTCTATGAAGACATTCCCGTTTCCAAGGAAATCCTCACAGCTATCCAAATATCCACTTGCAGATTCTACAAAAAGTGTGGTTCAAAACTGCTGTATCAAAAGAATGAATCAACACTGTTAGTTGAGTACCCACATCACAAACGTGATTCTCAGAATGCTTCTGTCTAGTTTCTGTAGGTAGATAATTCCTTTTTCAGCATAGGCCTGAAAGCGCTCCAAATGCCCGCTTCCAGACAGTATAAAAAGGGGGTTTCAAACCTACTCTATGAAAGGGAATGTTCAACTCTGAGAGCTGGATGCAAACATCACAAAGAAGTTTCTGAGAATGCTGCTGTCTACTTTTTATATATAATCCCGTTTCCAACGAAATCCTCAAATCTATCCAAATATCCACTTGCAGATTCCAAAAGAAGAGTGTCTCAAAACTGCTCTATCAATAGAAATGTTCAGCACAGTTAGTTGAGTAGATACAGCATAAACATGTTTCTGAGATTACTTCTATCTGGCTTTCATGGGAAGATATTTCCTTTTTCCAGATAGGCTACAAAGCCCTCCAAATGTCCACTTCGAGATACTACAAATAGAGTGCTGCACAACTGCTCTATGTGAGGGGATGTTCAATTCTGTGACTTGAATGCAGACACCACAAAGAAGTTTCTGAGAATGCTGCTGTCTAATTTTTATATGTAAGCCCGTTTCCAACGAAATCCTCAAAGCTAACCAAATATCCGCATGCAGAATCTTCAAAAAGAGTGTTCCAGAAGTACTGCATGAAACGAAAGGTTCGAGTTCGTTAGTTGAGGACACGCATCACAAATAAGTTTCTCAGAATGCTTCTGTCTTGTTTTCATTGGAAGATATTTCCTTTTTCACCATAGTTCTGAAAGCGCTCCAAATGTCCACTTCCAGACACTCCAAAAAAAGTGTTTCAAACCTGCTCTATGAATGGGAATGTTCCACTCTGTGACTTGAATGGAAATATGGCAAAGTATTTTCTGAGTATGCTGCTGTGTACGTTTTATATTGCATCCCGTTTCCAACGAAATCCTCAAAGCGATCCAAATATCCACTTGCAGATTCCAAAAAAAGAGTGTTTCAAACTGCTCTGTCAGTACAAAGGTTCAACACTGTTAGTTGATTAGATGCATCATAAACAAGTTCCTGAGATAGCTTCTATGTCGTTGTTATGGGAAGATATTTCCTTTTTCACCATAGGCCTGAAAGCGCTCCAAATGTCCACTTCCAGATACTACAATAAGAGTGTTTCCAACCTGCTCTATGAAACGGAAGGTTCAACTCTGTGACTTGATTGCAAACATCACGAAGGTGTTTCTGAGAATGCTTCTGTCTAGATTTTCTTTGAAGACATTCCCGTTTCCAACGAAATCCTCACAGCTATCCAAATATCCTCTTGCAGATTCTACAAAAAGTGTGGTTCAAAACTGCTGTATCAAAAGAATGGATCAACACTGTTAGTTGAGTACCCACATCACAAACGTGATTCTCAGAATGCTTCTGTCTAGTTTCTGTAGGTAGATATTTCCTATTTTAAGCATAGGCCTGAAAGCGCTCCAAATGCCCGCTTCCAGACACTATAAAAAGAGGGTTTCAAACCTACTCTATGAAAGGGAATGTTCAACTCTGAGAGCTGGATGCAAACATCACAAAGAAGTTTCTGAGAATGCTGCTGTCTACTTTTTATATATAATCCCGTTTCCAACGAAATCCTCAAATCTATCCAAATATCCACTTGCAGATTCCAAAAGAAGAGTGTCTCAAAACTGCTCTATCAATAGAAATGTTCAGCACAGTTAGTTGAGTAGATACAGCATAAACATGTTTCTGAGATTACTTCTATCTCGCATTCATGGGAAGATATTTCCTTTTTCCAGATAGGCTACAATGCCCTCCAAATGTCCACTTCCAGATACTACAAATAGAGTGCTGCACAACTGCTCTATGTGAGGGGATGTTCAATTACTGTGACTTGAATGCAGACACCACAAAGAAGTTTCTGAGAATTCTGCTGTCTAATTTTTACATGTAAGCCCGTTTCCAACGAAATCCTCAAAGCTATCCAAATATCCGCATGCAGAATCTTCAAAAAGAGTGTTCCAGAAGTACTGCATGAAACGAAAGGTTCAAGTCCGTTTGTTGAGGACACACATCACAAATAAGTTTCTCAGAATGCTTCTGTGTTGTTTTCATTGGAAGATATTTCCTTTTTCACCATAGTTCAGAAAGCGCTCCAAATGTCCACTTCCAGATACTCCAAAAAGAGTGTTTCCAACCTGCTCTATGAATGGGAATGTTCCACTCTGTGACTTGAATGGAAATATGGCAAAGAATTTTCTGAGTATGCTGCTGTGTACGTTTTATATTGCATCCCGTTTCCAACGAAATCCTCAAAGCGATCCAAATATCCACTTGCAGATTCCAAAAAAAGAGTGTTTCAAACTGCTCTGTCAGTACAAAGGTTCAACACTGTTAGTTGATTAGATGCATCATAAACAAGTTCCTGATATAGATTCTATCTCGCATTCATGGGAAGATATTTCCTTTTTCCAGATAGGCTACAAAGCCCTCCAAATGTCCACTTCCAGATACTACAAAAAGAGTGTTTCCAACCTGCTCTATGAAACGGAAGGTTCAACTCTGTGACTTGATTGCAAACATCACGAAGGTGTTTCTGAGAATGCTTCTGTCTAGATTTTCTTTGAAGACATTACCGTTTCCAACGAAATCCTCAAAGCTAGCCAAATATCCACCTGCAGATTCTACAAAAAGAGTGTTTCAAAAGTGCTCTGTCCAAACAAAGGTTCAATTCCGACAGTTGAGTGCACACATCACAAACGTGATTCTGCGAATGCTTCTGTCTAGTTTTTGTCGGAAGATATTTCCTTTTTCAGCATAGGCCCCAAGGAGCTCAAAATGTCCACTTCCAGATAGTACGAGAAGATTGTTTCAAACCTGCTCTGTGAAAGGGAATGTTCAACTCTGTGACTTGAATGTAAACATCCCTAGGATGTTTCTTAGAATGCTTCTGGCTAGATTTGATTTGAAGATATTCCCGTTTCCAACGAAATCCTCAAAGCTTTCCAAATATCCACTTCCAGATTCTATAAAAAGAATGTTTCAGAACAGTTCTGTCAAAAGAAAGGTTCAACTCTGTTAGTGGAGAACACACATCACAATCAAGGTTCTGAGAATGCTTCTGTCTAAATTTTCTATGAAGACATTCCCGTTTCCAACGAAATCCTCACAGCTATCCAAATATCCACTTGCAGATTCTACAAAAAGTGTGGTTCAAAACTGCTGTATCAAAAGAATGGATCAACACTGTTAGTTGAGTACCCACATCACAAACGTGATTCTCAGAATGCTTCTGTCTAGTTTCTATAGGTAGATATTTCCTTTTTCAGCATAGGCCTGAAAGCGCTCCAAATGCCCGCTTCCAGACACTATAAAAAGAGGGTTTCAAACCTACTCTATGAAAGGGAATGTTCAACTCTGAGAGCTGGATGCAAACATCACAAAGAAGTTTCTGAGAATGCTGCTGTCTACTTTTGATATATAATCCCGTTTCCAACGAAATCCTCAAATCTATCCAAATATCCACTTGCAGATTCCAAAAGAAGAGTGTCTCAAAACTGCTCTATCAATAGAAATGTTCAGCACAGTTAGTTGAGTAGATACAGCATAAACATGTTTCTGAGATTACTTCTATCTCGCATTCATGGGAAGATATTTCCTTTATCCAGATGGGCTACAAAGCCCTCCAAATGTCCACTTCGAGATACTACAAATAGAGTGCTGCACAACTGCTCTATGTGAGGGGATGTTCAATTCTGTGACTTGAATGCAGACACCACAAAGAAGTTTCTGAGAATGCTGCTGTCTAATTTTTATATGTAAGCCCGTTTCCAACGAAATCCTCAAAGCTAACCAAATATCCGCATGCAGAATCTTCAAAAACAGTGTTCCAGAAGTACTGCATGAAACGAAAGGTTCGAGTCCGTTAGTTGAGGACACGCATCACAAATAAGTTTCTCAGAATGCTTCTGTCTTGTTTTCGTTGGAAGATATTTCCTTTTTCACTATAGTTCAGAAATCGCTCCAAATGTCCACTTCCAGATACTACAAAAAGAGTGTGTCAAACCTGCTCTATGAATGGGAATGTTCCACTCTGTGACTTGAATGGAAATATGGCAAAGTATTTTCTGAGTATGCTGCTGTGTACTTTTATATTGCATCCCGTTTCCAACGAAATCCTCAAAGCGATCCAAATATCCACTTGCAGATTCCAAAAAAAGGAGTGTTTCACACTGCTCTGTCAGTACAAAGGTTCAACACTGTTAGTTGATTGGATGCATCATAAACAAGTTCCTGAGATAGCTTCTATGTCGTTTTTATGGGAAGATATTTCCTTTTTCACCATAGGCCTGAAAGCGCTCCAAATGTCCACTTCCAGATACTACAATAAGAGTGTTTCCAACCTGCTCTATGAAACGGAAGGTTCAACTCTGTGACTTGATTGCAAACATCACGAAGGTGTTTCTGAGAATGCTTCTGTCTAGATTTTCTTTGAAGACATTCCCGTTTCCAACGAAATCCTCACAGCTATCCAAATATCCTCTTGCAGATTCTACAAAAAGTGTGGTTCAAAACTGCTGTATCAAAAGAATGGATCAACACTGTTAGTTGAGTACCCACATCACAAACGTGATTCTCAGAATGCTTCTGTCTAGTTTCTGTAGGTAGATATTTCCTATTTTAAGCATAGGCCTGAAAGCGCTCCAAATGCCCGCTTCCAGACACTATAAAAAGAGGGTTTCAAACCTACTCTATGAAAGGGAATGTTCAACTCTGAGAGCTGGATGCAAACATCACAAAGAAGTTTCTGAGAATGCTGCTGTCTACTTTTTATATATAATCCCGTTTCCAACGAAATCCTCAAATCTATCCAAATATCCACTTGCAGATTCCAAAAGAAGAGTGTCTGAAAACTGCTCTATCAATAGAAATGTTCAGCACAGTTAGTTGAGTAGATACAGCATAAACATGTTTCTGAGATTACTTCTATCTCGCATTCATGGGAAGATATTTCCTTTTTCCAGATAGGCTACAAAGCCCTCCAAATGTCCACTTCCAGATACTACAAATAGAGTGCTGCACAACTGCTCTATGTGAGGGGAAGTTCAATTCTGTGACTTGAATGCAGACACCACAAAGAAGTTTCTGAGAATGCTGCTGTCTAATTTTTACATGTAAGCCCGTTTCCAACGAAATCCTCAAAGCTATCCAAATATCCGCATGCAGAATCTTCAAAAAGAGTGTTCCAGAAGTACTGCATGAAACGAAAGGTTCAAGTCCGTTTGTTGAGGACACACATCACAAATAAGTTTCTCAGAATGCTTCTGTCTTGTTTTCATTGGAAGATATTTCCTTTTTCACCATAGTTCAGAAAGCGCTCCAAATGTCCACTTCCAGATACTCCAAAAAGAGTGTTTCCAACCTGCTCTATGAATGGGAATGTTCCACTCTGTGACTTGAATGGAAATATGGCAAAGTATTTTCTGAGTATGCTGCTGTGTACGTTTTATATTGCATCCCGTTTCCAACGAAATCCTCAAAGCGATCCAAATATCCACTTGCAGATTCCAAAAAAAGAGTGTTTCAAACTGCTCTGTCAGTACAAAGGTTCAACACTGTTAGTTGATTAGATGCATCATAAACAAGTTCCTGAGATAGCTTCTATCTCGCATTCATGGGAAGATATTTCCTTTTTCCAGATAGGCTACAAAGCCCTCCAAATGTCCACTTCCAGATACTACAAAAAGAGTGTTTCCAACCTGCTCTATGAAACGGAAGGTTCAACTCTGTGACTTGATTGCAAACATCACGAAGGTGTTTCTGAGAATGCTTCTGTCTAGATTTTCTTTGAAGACATTACCGTTTCCAACGAAATCCTCAAAGCTAGCCAAATATCCACCTGCAGATTCTACAAAAAGAGTGTTTCAAAAGTGCTCTGTCCAAACAAAGGTTCAATTCTGACAGTTGAGTGCACACATCACAAACGTGATTCTGCGAATGCTTCTGTCTAGTTTTTGTCGGAAGATATTTCCTTTTTCAGCATAGGCCCCAAGGAGCTCAAAATGTCCACTGCCAGATAGTACGAGAAGATTGTTTCAAACCTGCTCTGTGAAAGGGAATGTTCAACTCTGTGACTTGAATGTAAACATCCCTAAGATGTTTCTTAGAATGCTTCTGGCTAGATTTGATTTGAAGATATTCCCGTTTCCAACGAAATCCTCAAAGCTTTCCAAATATCCACTTCCAGATTCTATAAAAAGAATGTTTCAGAACAGTTCTGTCAAAAGAAAGGTTCAACTCTGTTAGTGGAGAACACACATCACAATCAAGGTTCTGAGAATGCTTCTGTCTAGATTTTCTTTGAAGACATTACCGTTTCCAACGAAATCCTCACAGCTATCCAAATATCCACTTGCAGATTCTACAAAAAGTGTGGTTCAAAACTGCTGTATCAAAAGAATGGATCAACACTGTTAGTTGAGTACCCACATCACAAACGTGATTCTCAGAATGCTTCTGTCTAGTTTCTGTAGGTAGATATTTCCTATTTTAAGCATAGGCCTGAAAGCGCTCCAAATGCCCGCTTCCAGACACTATAAAAAGAGGGTTTCAAACCTACTCTATGAAAGGGAATGCTCAACTCTGACAGCTGGATGCAAACATCACAAAGAAGTTTCTGAGAATGCTGCTGTCTACTTTTTATATATAATCCCGTTTCCAACGAAATCCTCAAATCTATCCAAATATCCACTTGCAGATTCCAAAAGAAGAGTGTCTCAAAACTGCTCTATCAATAGAAATGTTCAGCACAGTTAGTTGAGTAGATACAGCATAAACATGTTTCTGAGATTACTTCTATCTCGCATTCATGGGAAGATATTTCCTTTTTCCAGATAGGCTACAAAGCCCTCCAAATGTCCACTTCCAGATACTACAAATAGAGTGCTGCACAACTGCTCTATGTGAGGGGAAGTTCAATTCTGTGACTTGAATGCAGACACCACAAAGAAGTTTCTGAGAATGCTGCTGTCTAATTTTTACATGTAAGCCCGTTTCCAACGAAATCCTCAAAGCTATCCAAATATCCGCATGCAGAATCTTCAAAAAGAGTGTTCCAGAAGTACTGCATGAAACGAAAGGTTCAAGTCCGTTTGTTGAGGACACACATCACAAATAAGTTTCTCAGAATGCTTCTGTCTTGTTTTCATTGGAAGATATTTCCTTTTTCACCATAGTTCAGAAAGCGCTCCAAATGTCCACTTCCAGATACTCCAAAAAGAGTGTTTCAAACCTGCTCTATGAATGGGAATGTTCCACTCTGTGACTTGAATGGAAATATGGCAAAGTATTTTCTGAGTATGCTGCTGTGTACGTTTTATATTGCATCCCGTTTCCAACGAAATCCTCAAAGCGATCCAAATATCCACTTGCAGATTCCAAAAAAAGAGTGTTTCAAACTGCTCTGTCAGTACAAAGGTTCAACACTGTTAGTTGATTAGATGCCTCATAAACAAGTTCCTGAGATAGCTTCTATGTCGTTTTTATGGGAAGATATTTCCTTTTTCACCATAGGCCTGAAAGCGCTCCAAATGTCCACTTCCAGATACTACAATAAGAGTGTTTCCAACCTGCTCTATGAAACGGAAGGTTCAACTCTGTGACTTGATTGCAAACATCACGAAGGTGTTTCTGAGAATGTTTCTGTCTAGATTTTCTTTGAAGACATTCCCGTTTCCAACGAAATCCTCACAGCTATCCAAATATCCTCTTGCAGATTCTACAAAAAGTGTGGTTCAAAACTGCTGTATCAAAAGAATGGATCAACACTGTTAGTTGAGTACCCACATCACAAACGTGATTCTCAGAATGCTTCTGTCTAGTTTCTGTAGGTAGATATTTCCTATTTTAAGCATAGGCCTGAAAGCGCTCCAAATGCCCGCTTCCAGACACTATAAAAAGAGGGTTTCAAACCTACTCTATGAAAGGGAATGTTCAACTCTGAGAGCTGGATGCAAACATCACAAAGAAGTTTCTGAGAATGCTGCTGTCTACTTTTTATATATAATCCCGTTTCCAACGAAATCCTCAAATCTATCCAAATATCCACTTGCAGATTCCAAAAGAAGAGTGTCTCAAAACTGCTCTATCAATAGAAATGTTCAGCACAGTTAGTTGAGTAGA